>NC_000001.11:230275030-230426545 GCF_000001405.40 Homo sapiens | reverse complement strand
GGAGGAGACCGGCACTGCCGCCGGCGGCCCTCCCCCTAACCGCCAGCCCCGGCCGCGCGCCCCGCCCCGCCCCGCGGAGGAGGGTGGGGGCGTTCCCCGCGCCGGGCCCGCCCAGCTCCCCCGCGGCTGTCCGGGCCGGGCTCCCCATTGGCCGGCGGGCGGGAGGTGAGGGGCGGCAGGGCCCGCCTCTGGCGGCTCGCGCCCGGGAAGGTCGGCAGCCGAGCGCCGGAGGCCGTGGAGAGGGCGGGCAGGGAGGCGGCGGGCGCCGAGGAGACGCAGCGGCGGCGGTGGTGGCGGTGGTGGCGGCGGTGGCGGCGGCGGCGCCTGGTCTCGGCCGCAGCCTCTGCGTCCCGCCCGCTCTGGGTCGCCCCTGCCAGCCCCGCGCGCGGCTCGCCTCCCGCCGCGGCCCGCAGCCTGCGGCGCCCGAGCTCCGAGGGCGCTTCCCCGGGCGCTGGGCCCGAGGCGGCCAAGACGGCGGGCCGGCCGGGCACGGGGCGGCGGGCGCTGTGCTGCGGGCTGCGCTGGTGGGGGGCGGCGGGCCGCGGCGCGGGCCCAGGGCCCGGCGTGTGCGGCTGGGAGGCACTGTGGGGGCGGGCGCGCGGGCGGCGGCCGGGGCCATGGCCGAGGGCGGCGGGGGCGCGCGGAGGAGGGCGCCGGCGCTGCTCGAGGCTGCCCGCGCGCGCTACGAGAGCCTGCACATCTCGGACGACGTGTTCGGCGAGTCCGGCCCGGACAGCGGCGGGAACCCCTTCTACAGCACCTCGGCCGCCTCGCGCTCCTCCTCGGCCGCCTCCTCGGACGACGAGCGCGAGCCCCCGGGACCCCCAGGGGCCGCCCCGCCACCGCCCCGCGCCCCGGACGCACAGGAGCCGGAGGAGGACGAGGCCGGCGCGGGCTGGAGCGCAGCGCTGCGGGACCGCCCGCCCCCGCGCTTCGAGGATACCGGCGGTAAGGGGCTGCCCGCGGGTGGATGTCGGGGGCGGCGCTGGAACCGGGCGCGGGGGAGGCGTGGGTGCTGGGGCGGGCGAGTCCAGACTCTCCGTGGGCTGGCTTGTGGGTGTCTCTCCGGAAACAAATGAGGCTGCAGGAGCGGTGATCGGTCTGACTGCTCCTGGGGGCTCCGAACCCGTGGGTGGAGAGGGTAAGGCGGAGGCCGTGGCCAGCACTTTTCCAGTGACAATGTCGTCGGGGACCTTTTCCTTCACTTCCTGGGAGCACCCCAGCCCCTGCATGGGAAGTCTGTCACACCTGTGGGTCGGACTTTTAGGGGTGGATTGAAGTTAGGCTTTCCTAGTTGAGGGGGCTTTTCTGAAAGCCCGGCGTGGCTGGTGGAGGCAGGGGGAGTCGTTTTTTCACTGACAGCCCAAGAGCAAGCCTTACAGCAGGTGACGCGGGCGAGGCAGGTAGGAGTTGGCCCAGTGAGAGTTGAGAGAGAGGCCACCCGCGGCGTCTTGACTTGGCTTAGTTTTCTCCTTAATCTGAGAAACTTTCCCTGTCCGCGCCATTCCAGATCTCTTGTTAAGAATGGGGAGGAGTGAAGGAAGGGACCGATTGGGCAGCGTTAAGGTGCTTGCTTTTCCGCCAGAAGGTACTTTCAGGTGTGTCCTGCTTACCACTGTGGCCACAGACAAGCCCCGAATACCTGGAGAAGGTGGCTAGGGTGCTGGCAGCTGCGGCTGCCCCACTCCTCTTCACTGTCTGTTTTTGTGGGAGTTGGCTGTTGAAATATCACCACTTCCTCTGCAGAAGCTCCGCAGCCTCTGCCTTCTTTGAAAGCTGCAGACCAGCCGCCCTCTCATGCTGGTATTTCTTGTTCCACGGCCTTCTGTAGCAGGCCCGTGCTCCTGCATGCTGTGTTCTTCCGTAGAAGTGCGCGCAACCGGTGTTGATGAGGGCCAGGGAGTGGCCGCGGTGGGCATGATGCGGCTTTTCCTGTGGCCTTCTCTGATTATTGTTCAACCGGTCAGGAACACGGCACATGGGAAGGCAGGCCCAAGGGACCTCCAGCTGGTGCCTGGACTTGGATCTGGGCATCATGCTGCAGCCTGCTGGGAGGCCGGTAGGGTTAGCTGGACTCTGAGTAGGGAGTGGTCTGCAGACCTCTGGCAGGCTGCGGTGTGGATGCGCGGAGCTAAAGCTGGGCTTGCAAAGTCACAGTTAGCTGTGCACTGCTTTGGGGGTGGGTACATTTTAAAGCATGTGCATTTGGGCTGTAGTTAAGAGCTTGGGAATTTTCAAAATCATTGACTCTCTATAGTCCTTTTATACTGTCCTATATTTTCCAGGATGTCATTAAGGTCTCCTGGCCCTAGACAGCTGTTTTCCTATTGGCTCTTTAAGAATTGTACCAGTCCACAGACCTGGTTTGGCAGACTTTATGCCGTGAGCATCTGTGATGTAATTTCGATCCTGGAACATTTGAGATCCAGGTCCACCTGGGACTGCACAGCAAGTCTCTGCGTGTCTCAGGGCGAAATAGAGAACTTGTGCTAGGTCAAGCCTAGTTATGAAAAAGAATCCTGAATGTGCTGATGTGAGAAGGGTGAGCACACAAATAAATTTTAAATCCATCTTATATTTCTTAGTAACCTTGAAATGGGAGAAATTCTGCAGCAGAGCCATTTAATCCAGCCACCGCAGCACTTACGGTCATGAAGAGCAGGATCGTGTGTCATTTAGCGTTAGGTTCAAATTCTGCTTCCTGCAGATGCCCACTGAGTTCACACCTGGACCGAAGAATCAGGTCCTTTAACCAAAGACATTAGTGGTTATTGCCGGTATTTTTACCCAGTTTTGTTTTCCTGCCCTGTGTGGGAGCTTGCCTTTTAACTCCACATCTGATTTAGAATTTCCTCTTTGCAAATTTCTCCCTGAGGGAAATTTGGAGTGGTGGAGAATGGAGGGATGAGGTTGATGGCTTGTTAAACTTGAATTCAGTTTCTCCAAAACAATGGAATATGATTTATGGGGGCTGAAAATAGATGCAGAAGTGTGGGTTTGGTCAGAGAAAATCCTTGCGCCTACCAGTGTGGAGGGAGATGGATGTGTTTATTAAGAGGCTGAGAGCTGCATCCTGGCCACTTGGGGAGCAAAGAGGATCAGCCTGCTAGGGTTTACCAGAGCACAGTATCTAAAACGCTACGACAAGCGTGCGCTCCCCACTTGCAAAGAATGCAGCCTGGATCTCTCTTCCATCTTTGTTCCCTGTTTATTAACAAATCTCACTGCATGGGTAGAGTGGGGTAGGGAGGAAAGTAAGCAGGTGGCATTTTGATCTCTAATCAGGCTTTATAATGGAAAATTTATAATTCAAATTGCTCTTGCTGCTGGAATCAGATGAGGAAAGCACAGAATCGAGATTTGATAGAGGCTTCCTGCCTTGCTGCAACTGTAAAAACAGGTATATGTGTATGTACATAAATGTGTTTTATGGAAATGTGCGGGTATGTAAATGTGTGTATGTAACTGGGTATTGTATGCAAATGTGTATTGCTTGTGCTAGGTTTTTGGTTTTTTTTTTTTTAATCAGAAAGATAACTCTGATGACCTAGAAACCTTTGCAGAGTCGCTGTGCATGAGGGAGGTAGACACTGGGGACCATTATGAGTTGTAGTCGGAGTTGCCACATCCCCCCACCCCCACCATAAGGGAGTGCACACAGTAGGGAGATACTTGGTGCCCAGCTGGGAGAGGGAGGAAGCAGTGCTAGTTCCCGTGCCAGCCCTAAAAGCAACATTTCTGTAGTTAAGGTGGGAAATCCTCGCCATTCTTCAGGCTGTTCTTGTCTTCCCAGCCCTTTCCTTCTGTTTTTCAGCGTATTTAGCTTCCTAGATCAGCTCCTCCGGAAGTGCGGCCAGTAGTTATGGGTGGAGAGGGCCCTTGCCCACTCTTCTGTCTCCTCTCTCACCTCCCCTAGGTTCTGGCTGTGCATTGAGGTGTGGATTCCCTCGGGATGACTTAAATGCACACGCTATGCTTGTCGGGCTAGCTGTTGGGCTCTTAACCCCTGTGGAGATGCATGATCTGCCTGGGAGCTGAAATGCCTACTGGGAGTGCAGAGCCTAGGACCCTCTCTTAACCAGACTTGCAGCATATATCCCCCCAAAATAGCCCCCTCAAGCTGTCAGCCTGCCTGCCCACTGTGCAAATAACCAACACAGCATGTGAGCTCACTCTTTGGAAACAGAATGAAATTCAGGCCCGGCTGCTTTTTGAGCCTCTGCCCTTTTGGTTTCTTATTCTGAGCAGTCTTGTGATTCGTTTCTCGGAGGAGGCAGAGGAACAGACAGATTTCACAGATGCTCAAGGGCTCTCGTCTGTTTGGTTTGTCAGTCCTTTGTCATGGCTGGCTGGGATCTGAGCTGTTCACTCTTTCTATTAGAGGTTAGACTTCATAGAAGAGAGAGAGAGAGGGAAAAATATATATATATATTTGTGTGTGTGTATGTGTGTGTTTTCCCCCCATTTACCATCTCAGCAACCCTCTAATCATTCAGTGGGGAGGTATGACCTTGAGCAGCTGGAGAGAAACATATAGCATTGGAAATTAACATTGTTGAATGTTTTATCTTTACAGTTTGTTGTTGGTTTAAAGCCTTTTTAATAAAAAGAAAAATCTTTCTCTCAAAACCAGAATTAAACTGAGACCCTTGGCTCTAAAGGGGTTTGTGAACTCAGAGACCTGGAACCCTGTCTATGGTGTTAAGTATAAGAAGCTGCTCCTACCTTTAGCTCTGTACAGGATTCTGTGGCTCCAGGAGGAACTTTGAAGCTTGGTGAGCTGCAAGATAATCTTAGGCAAAGCTACATAGTAATCAAGTGCAAGACTGTGTGTCATCTTGCAGTGGCTGCACAGAATTCAGAGAAGGGAGCTTCCTGGGAGAGCTGTTTTGCTCTTTTCCCAGGAGTCTGTTCATGTAGGGGGTGAAACTGGAGCTGCTACTGCTAACCCTCAGTTCTCATTTGTCACTTGCATTTTCATGCATTATTATCAAACTCAGTCTTCACAAGGACTCTGTGGCCGAGAAGTTGCCACTGCCATGTGACTGGGGAAGGAAGTTGCTGCCTTCACTTTCCCGGGGGTGATGAGATTACCAGATTAAGTGATCACCATCTAACTAGTCAGACTCAATAATTCAGGAAATGTAGTGCCTTTTTTTTCTTTTACTAGAACCTTTTTCAGTAAAAAATATTTATTTTTATGGTTATACATGAATTGCTTTTAGTTTTGGGGGGAAGCGGATACAGTTCTGTGAGTTTTAACTCATGATTTGTGTAATCGATACCACAAACAGGATACAGAAGAGTAGAATCTTGCCAGGGTGTTGGTGGTATAGTGGTTGGCGTAGCTGCCTTCCAGAAGAGGAGAATCTGGATTTTTCTCTAGCTCCCTGTTTAATCCTTGCTGTCCCGAGTTGTCCTAATGAGTACTCAGAGCTGTTTTTCAGGAGGTGGGGCTTTGCATACACTGGAACAGGTGGTGAGGTCTAACCTAGTTTTAGAGTCCAAAACTCACTTTGTAGACTTCTTTTTAGAGGCACGGTCTCACTATGTGCCCAGGGTGGACTCAAACTCCTGGGCCCAAGTGATCCTCCCGCTTCAGCTTCCTGAGTAGCTGGGACTGAAGGTGCATTCCACCATACCTTGCTCACGCCTTTGTTTTTAAGGACTGTGATTGTATGTTTTTTTCTTATTAACAGGTTACATATATTCATTTTAGAAAATAAATAAGAAAAAGGATAAAAATTGTATTACTCCATTTTCATGCTGCTGATAAAGACATACCCAAGACTGGGCAATTTATAAAAGAAAGAGGTTTATTGGACTTATAGTTCCACATGGCTGGGGAGGCCTCACAATCATGGTGGAAGGCAAGAAGGAGCAAGTCACATCTTACATGGATGGCTGCAGGCAAAGAGAGAGAATTTGCCAGCAGGGGAAATGCCAGATGCTTATAAAGCCATCAGATCTTGGTTCACTCACTGTCACGAGAACAGCATGGGGGGAACTGCCCCCATGATTCAGTTATCTCCACCTGGCCCCGCCCTTGACACATGGGGATTATTACAATTCAAGGTGAGATTTGGGTGGGGACATAGAGCCAAACCACATCAAAAATTGTAAAAATCAAATTACCTTCCTTTTCCCAGAGATAACCACAGTTGACATACAGAATATGTGCTTCATGTATCTTACATTACATTTTGTTGAGGGACCTGATTTTTAATTGTTATTAATATATTATGAACATTTTCCATTTAAATTTTAAAAAGATGTTTTCACTGAATCTATAATACTCTAGGGTTCCCTTTTGTTAGGATTGAGTTTATTGCCCCACTTCTCTCTCCCCTTTGTTTGCTGTTAAATTAGTGCTGTGGTGAACATAGTTGAGGCCTAAGTTTGTTTTTTTGTTTGTTTTTGAGGTGGAGTTTTGCTCATTTTGCCCAGGCTGGAGTGCAATGGCACAATCTTGGTGCACTGCAACCTTTGCCTCCTGGGTTCAAGTGATTCTCCTGCCTCAGCCTCCTGAGTAGCTGGGATTACAGGCACGCACCACCACGCCTGGCTAATTTTTGTATTTTTAGTAGGGATGGGGTTTCGCCATGTTGTCCAGGCTGGTCTTGAACTCCTTACCTCAGGTGATCCACCTGCCTTGGCCTCCCAAAGTGCCGAGATTACAGGTGTGAGCAACCACGCCTGGCCTGAAGCTTAAGCTTACATATACATCCTCAATTTACTCCTTAGCATCAAATGATAAAGCAATATTGAGGTAAGGATTTTGCGTATTTTAAAGGGTTTTGATATCTGTTGTGAAAGAGTCTTCCAGAAATGTACCTTTTTATGCCTTTGCCAGCAGTACCCCAGAGAGTCCATTAGAACATCCTGCTTACAAGGCAGCAAACCGGTATGCGATGCCCACCAGTAAGAGTAAGATGGCTCTTAGAGGAGTATTTTGTTTTATTTTATTTTGTATTTACTTTTCACCTTTTATTTTAGACTCAGGGGATACATGTCCAGGTTTGTTATAAAGGTATATTGTGTGATGCTGAGGTTTGGAGTCTGATTGAGCCCATCACCCTGTGGTGAGCAGAGTACCTAATGGGTAGTTTTTCTCACCTTGCTCCCCTCCCTCCCTCCTTTAGGAGTCCCCAGTATCTATTTTTGCCATCTTCATGTCCATGTGTACCCAATGTTTAACTCCCATTTCTAAGTGACAACATGCAGTGTTTGGTTTTCTATTCCTGCATTAGTTCACTTAGGATAATGACCTCCAGCTGCATCCATGTCACTGCAGAGGACGTGATTTCCTTCTTTTTTATAACTGCGTGGTGTTCCATGGTGTATGTGCACCATATTTTCTTTATCCAGTCCACCATTGATGGGCACCTGGGTTGATTCTGTGTCTTTGCTATTGTCAATAGCACTGTAATGAACATATGGGTGCATGTGTCTTTTTGGTAGAACAATTTGTTTTCCTTTGGGTATATACCCAGTAATGGGATGGCTGGGTCAAATTGTTCACTTTCAGTTCTTTGAGAAATCTCCAAAGTTCTCTGCACAGTGGCTGCACTAATTTACATTCCCACCAACAGTGGAATGATTAAGTGTTCTAGAGGATTACTTTATATAATGAAGCTTATGTGTGTCATAGCACACATAGATTGCATGAGACATTCGTGCACAGCACAGTGCATTCTTACATGGGTATACCTGTGTCACTACCACCCAGATCAAGGTAAAGAGTGTTCCTAGTTCCAGATGCAGTGGCTCATGCCTAGCCTGTAATCTCAGCCACTTGGGAGCTGACGTGGGAGAATTGTTTGAGACCAAGAGTTCGAGACCATCTTGGGAAACACAAAGAGAGCCCACCTTTCCTAAAAAATATTCTAAAAAATTAGCCAAGCGTGGTGGTGAATGCCTGTAGTCCCAGCTACACTAAAGGCTGAGGTGGGTGAGGCTGCAGTGAGCTGTGTTTGTACCACTGCACTCCAGACTGTGGTACAAGCTGACAGAGTGAGACCCCATCTCGAAAAGAAAAAAGAAAAACATTCTTAGCATCCTGAAGATTCCTACCTGCCCCTTTCCCATCAGTACCTCCCTGTCCCCAGAGGTAGCCATTATTCTGAGTTCATCACCAATACTTAATTGTTTTACCTGTAAGATTCATCCATATCGCATAGAGCAGTCCTATCTTTATATTGCAGTGTAGTATGCCACTGTACAACTGTACTACAGTTTATTTACCTGGTGTCCTATCGGTAGACTTTTGGTTTGTTTCCAAACCCGAAAGTTGCTACAAACGTTCTTGTACATGTTTTCTTGATGTTTGTATACATCACTTCCTTGGGCCATGTATACCTAGGAGTGGGATTGCTAGGCCATGGATTCATTGTATATTTACCCTTAGTACAAGGTCTTTCAACTTGGGCCAGATAATTCTTTGCTGGTGGGGGGCTGTCCTGAGCACTGCAGGACGTTCAGCAGCATCCCAGGCCTCTACCCACTGAATGTTACTGGCACCCCTCCTCCCCAGTTGTAGCAAACAGACATGTCTCCAGACATTGCCAAATGTCCCCTGGGGGGGCAAAAGCACCAGGTATTGAGAACCACTACTTTAGGAAGTGCTGCCAAGCAGTTTTCCAATTTACACTCCCACCAGCAATGGATGAGATGTGCCTCCTATTAATTCAGCCAGCACATTGAGCCCTGCTGGGATAAAACGAGAAGTTAGACATGTCCCCTGGGGTTCAATAGGAGAGACAGAGTGAAGGAAAAGAGATAAGTGTCTCTGGTGAATGCTGTGATCAGGGAAAACATGGATTTCTATGGGATTCCAGAGGTGCCTCACTTCCTCCAGCTGGGTTGGAGAAGAGGCGGCATTTCTGGAGGAGGTGGCCCCTGAGCTGCACCTTGAAGAACAAATAACTAGTCAGGTGAAGAGGAAGGAAAAGTGTCTCAAACAAGAGAGCCATTTGAGCAAAGGGGAGAGAAGGCGTGCCATTTTGCCCGTGGGCAGTCGCACTGGCCCCTAAACTGAGCTTCCTTACTTGAGACTTTCTTAGTGAAAATATCTTAAAATTTAACACCTATAATTATTACTATTGCAAGTAACTGTAGCTAGAATCCAAACTCCAGGTTCAGGCATGGATGTAGATTTACGTAGCAAACCCTGGATCCCACAGGGAGGGGGATTTGCCAAGCATGTTGAGAAATGAGTACTTAGGGCAGAATCCATGGAGAAGCACCGGGGTCCTTCCTTTAAGGAAGGAGGAGGGAAAATGACAGCAGAAGGGAATGGGATAAGACCTTTATTGGTGAGAGGAAATACAACATGATCTTGGGGGTGGGAGAATACTGGAATCCCTGAAATATCTGACTATGGAGAAGGAATGCTTGCCTATTCTCCCACAGGGTATAAAGAACTTTCCTTCCCCTCATTTGTGAGTTGCAGGAAGAATTATTACAAAAGAATGAAAAACCGGCCACATTTAGGCATATATTTAAGAAGTTACTTTCATGAAAAAGTTTAGAACTACAAATCCTTCCACTTCTTATATCATTGCCATTGCTGCCAACCGTAGCCAAGACAGCATCACCCCTTGGCCAGGCTGGTGGGGCTTTCATCCGCTTGGATTCTCAGCCTCCACCTTTGTTGACTGCCCCTGCCCCGGTTTCAGTTTCCCCAGGCTGTGCTGGAAAAGTGATGTTTTACAAACACAAGTTCATATACTCACTTCTCTGCTTAAACTCCTCCAGTAACTTCCCATCCAAACCGAAGGGAAATCCAGATTCCTTAGCATGGCCTCCGGGTCTCTAGGTCCACCCTGGTCTTCCTCTCTATTGTCACCTTGTAGCACGCGTCCTACCATTGTCTCTGGCCATGTGATCTTCTGTCTGCCAGGCCCTTGCCCGGAATGTTCTTCCTGACTTTCGAACGGCAGCCCTTGCCTGCTGGCCTGGTCTTGTTTCCAGTGTCACTGTCTTTACCCATCTAAAATCACTACCTTCCCTCTGGTCTCTCCTAGCACTCACTGCCACCTGCATAAGCTAATTTATTTATCATGTGTGGAGACCTTGGACATTCTGGTCACAGTATATGGTAAAAATGTGGCAGGTGCTCAGTTTTTTTTGAATGCTTGAATGAACAAAGGAATAGATGGACGCAGAAGTAGATTTTTAAGTGGGTACGGGATTCGGTGCCGGTAAAAAATGTTCACAAGCTGAGCATTTCCAACATCCAAAATAGTGGAAGAGTTAATGGGGCAGCTCCACAAAGGAGTGAGTTTCTTACCCCAGAGACACCAATGCCACCAAATATGAGGATTTCTGTCCTGGTTGGAAGACCAAACTTGATGGCTACTGGGGAATTTAATACAGTCTTGAGCTTCTACAACCTGCTCACTTCCTGGTGGCCCAGAGACACCCAAGATAGGCAGGAATCTATGAGGAATTTACAGGGAAGCCAGCTGCTTGCACCCCTTTATTCATTTAACAAATGCTTGTATATCACTTACTATATGCAGATGCTTTTCTAAGCACTTTCTAACTTATGTAATCCTCACAACCATCCTGTCAAGTGAATACTGTCATTATCCCTATTTTTAAAATGAGGAAGTGGAGCTACAGAGTGCTCAAGAGTAGACTGGTCCCTTTGATTAAGGGACTAGGAAGAATCATATTAGAGCAATGAGTGTGGAACATGGTATATGTGGGTCAGATCAACTAATTTATAACAAGTCCCTTGCAAAGGGCTCTGAACCAAAGATGATCATTGCATAGCAAACCTGTCTTCCCCCATTGCCTTGTATTCTGGGAAATGGCTGCACCTCTTGGAGTGAGATGGGACTGCTGCCTGGTTTCTGAACAGTGCAACGTAAGCAGACGTTCTCACTGAGGTCTGTCATCTGCCTGCCCATGGGGGAAGAGAGACCCACATGGGCAGATGACAGGCCTCACTGGGAAGTGGTCACTGCACTCATCTCTGCCAGGCAGCAGACAGGAAGCCAGTAGATAAATTCAATTTTGATGTTTCAAAGCCTCCAGCAAGCTTCCCTGGCAAAAGCAACTGCAAATGGAATCTGTCACCTTAGGAGTAACCAGATAGGGAAGAAGGAGAGACCTATTTTCTCAAGTTTGAGAAACAGGGTTACAAAGAGAATATAAAGGATCAGGATACAGGGAGATTTTTCTGGGAGGAAAGACTGTCAACAAGTGGAATCACCCAGAGTGGTTAGTGGGCATCTTTCTTATTTGAGCACTTTTTTTTTTTTTTAGACAGAGTCTCGTTCTGTCACCCAGGCTGGAGTGTACTGGTGTGATCACAGCTCACTGCAGCCTTGAACTCCTGGGCTCAAGCAGTCCTCCCACCTCAGTCTAAGACTGCAGTCTCAGCGGAGACTACAGATAGGCGCCACCATGCCCACCTAATTCTTTTTAATTTTTTTGTAAAGACAAGGTCTCACTATGTTGCCTAAGCTGGTCTGAAACTCCTGGCTCAAGCCATCCTTCCACCTCTGCCTCCCAAAGTGCTAGGATTGCATGCATGAGCCACTGCACCTGGCTTATTTGAGCACTTTATGCGTTTGGGGAAGGTGACATCTTCCACCAGTGCCATCTTAAATAAGTGTTCCCAGGAATTCCACTGCTGAGTTTGTGGGTGTGGATCACATGAAGACGTGAGGTTCTGTGAGTAGACATTCACTTCAGAATGCACATGTAAAGCAGTCTTCATCTCCTTCCTTATCTGACGTAATGACATTTGCTTCCTTCAGGTCCCAGCATCGAAGGTGAATACAAATGTCCTATTTGGTTTGCTCTTTAGTGCTGATATTTCAGCTGAATTGCCTGTGTGTTTTCCTTGGCTGCATTTTCTTAGGCGAGCTGGGGTGTTGGAGCACAGCCTGTGGCATCTTAGGGGGATGTGCATTCAGAGTGCCAGTGGAGACCTGGAACAGAACCTCATTGGAAATTGAGACAACAGTTGTTTTTCTTTAAGATCGAAAGAGGTAAATTACAGGTAAATAATAGCAAGGGTAAACTCACACCTTGTATTATAAATGTATAGACTCGGTCTCTTCCAGAAGTGTAGCAGAGAAGAAATACAAACATTCTGAAAAAGATTAGGTAAATTTAGGAAGAAGGCAAATGACACTGGGGAAATTGGAATAGTTGAGAGAGTGCAGCCCCCATTTCTGAAGGTAGTGTGTGGGATGCTTTGGTGGGAAGGAGGGAAGATCCGCGGCTGTCTTTGGTTCTGCCTGTCAGAAAGGCATTGCGATGTGCACAGAGCTTTGGAGACACACAGACACTGGTCCCAGCTCTGCCTCTAGATTGTCATCTCCCAGAGGGGTGACTCCAGGCACCAGATGGGATTATATAGGGTCCTACACAGGAGACATTCAGCCAAGTACCCTTTGTACTGTCTCTGGTGGGCTCCTAAGAGTGATCCAATGTTCGTAATCCCAAACGACTAACCTAAGTCACATGCACCTTGGGGTGTGCCAGCGTTCCTTCACCCCATCAATTTATCAGCTGCAGAGGTAGAAATTTTAACATGAAACGGAAGTAGAACAGCCCTGAGAAGTTTTTGAGTGTAGGCTTCATATCTTCTTTCAAATACATTTCATACATTTGGCAGATATTTATAGAGTGCCTACTCTGCACCAGGCACTATGTTAAAAACTGGGGATTGATAAGAAGCAGAGGTTCTAGCCCTCAAACAGCATAACTCCTGGTGGTGAAGACAAACGGCCGATCCACAGATAGTTGTGATGCAGCGTAAGAGGTGCTGACACGAGCAGGTTGTCCTAGGTCCTAAGGGAACACCCAGCAGGAGACAGCGTGAAGGCATCTTTAGAGCCACAGAAAACATGATAGATGCAGATGGTACCAAGGGAAACCAAAGGATGACATGAAGTTTCATGCAGTATATTTTTTTAATGATTTAAAAAATCTCCATTGCATTTGCTTTTTTATACCTGCTCTCAATCATAATCTTGTCTGTTTTTGCACATCCTCCCTCTCTTCCCCTCCCCGCCCTTTTATGAGATGGGGGTCTGTGCTCTGTTGCCCAGGCTGGAGTGCGATGATGCGATCACGGCTCACTGCAGCCCCTACTTCCCAGGCCCAAGCAATCCTCCCACCCCAGCCTCCTGAGTAGCTGGGACTACAGGTGTGTGCCACCATACCTAATTTTTTGCTCGAAATTCTGCTCCCTAACAGCTCCAGAATATCTCCCTCTGAGACAGAATAGGGAGGTTGGCAAGCTGGGAGTCTGGTTCCGGGTGGGAGTGTGGATGGCTGTGCCTGAGTTCTGAGCGGCATGCCACCAGTAGTCTGATTCATATTTCCATTAGGGAGTGCAACTGAAGGTAATATTTACCACAAAGCACAGTAAGTCCTCACTTAACATCATCAGTAGGTTCTTCTGCAACTTTAAGCAAAACAATGTACCGCAGGCCCTTGAATAATGTCTTTTTGTTATAATGTTGATGAGAAAAAATACTGGTTTTCTTACATTATTTTGCTTAAAGTCACAATTTCCAAGAACCTGTTAATGACTTACTGTATGTTACCCTGAAACTTGGACTGGGAAGGCAGGTGGTGGTTGTGGATTTAAAAACAAAAGGAGGACTTTTTATTAGTCGTTGTGATATTGCATGCAATCTTTAAAAAAATTATGCATGCGAAAATATATACAGTTGACTCTTGAACAACACAGGTTTGCACTGGGTGGGTCCACTTATACACAGATTTTCTTCCACCTCCACCCCTGAGACAGCAAGACCAACCACTCCTCTTCCTCCTCCTCCTCCTCAGCCTACTCAGTGAAGATGATGAGGATAAAGACTTTAGGATGGGCCGGGCGCGGTGGCTCATGCCTGTAATCCCAGCACTTTGGGAGGCCGAGGAGGGTGGATCATGAGGTCAGGAGATTGAGACCATCCTGGCTAACATGGTGAAACCCCATCTCTATTAAAAATACAAAAAATTAGCCAGGTGTGGTGGTGGGTGCCTGTAGTCCCAGCTACTCGGGAGGCTGAGGCAGGAGAATGGTGTGAACCCAGAAGGTGGAGCCTGCAGTGAGCCAAGATCACGCCATTGCACTCCAGCCTGGGCAACAGAGCGAGACTCTGTCTCAAAAAAAAAAAAAAAAAAAGACTTTAGGATGATCCATTTCCCCTTAATGAATAGAAAATATGTTTTTTCTGCCTTATGATTTTCTTAATATCACTCAACAGTAGGCTATTAGTAGTTGAGTTTTGGGGAAGTTGAAAATTATACATAGATTTTCAACTGGGTTGGGGTCAACCCCTTAACCCCTGCATTGTTCAAGGGCCAACTGTAATTTCGTTGATAAGCATTAATATAATATTATACATGGTTCTTGACTGGAGTCCTTTTTCTGACCCTTTTCCCTTTTTTGTTGGAATTTCCCTCCCTTCTCCTTCTCTATCTCTGTCCACATAACCCATGTAGAAAACTTGGTGCTCATACATGAACACATTTTTGCATACATGTACATGTGTAGGGTTTTTCTTTTTGGGGGGAGAGTTCATTGTTTAACAAATACGGGTTTGTTTTATATACCTTTTGTCAAGCTCTTCTCATGAATATCTTCTATTTTACTTCATTTTTAAAAACTTTTATTAAATGCCTTTTTAGCATTTGTTGCTATTATTCCTATGATTCTGTAGTCTTTTCCATAATTAATTTGTTGACGAAGTGAATTTTATTGATTTCCTGGTACTGAGGTACCCTTATGTTCCTGGGATAAACCCAGGTTGGTCTCAGTATGTAGTTCTCTTTGATACACAGCTGAATTATGTTATTTGCTAATATTAGTTCAGAGTTTCTGTAACAAATCAATCATAAGCCAGATTTGTTAATAATTTCTCATCTCTCAAGTTTGGGAATTAAAATTATGCTTGGCTTCATAAATGAATTGGTTTATTATTTCTTAATTGCCTTTTGCCATTTAATAGTAGAATCACGGGTTAGATAAAACTCAGCTGTGAACCTGTCTGGTCATGGTGACTTTTTCTGATTTTTTCCACTTACTGAATCAGTTTGATGATTTATATTTAGGAAATCATTTGTTTATTCTAAGGCTTTCAAATTTGTTGACATGAAGTTCCATGCAGTATATATTTTTAATGATTTAAAAAATTTCTACTGCGTTTGCTTTTTTATACCTGCTCTCAATCATAATCTTGTCTGTTTTTGCACATCCTCCCTCACTTCCCCTCTCCGCCCTTTTTTGAGATGGGGGTCTGTGCTCTGTTGCCCAGGCTGGAGTGCGATGGCACGATCATGGCACACTGCAGCCTTTACTTCCCAGGCCCAAGCAATCCTCCCACCCCAGCCTCCTGAGTAGCTGGGACTACAGGCGTGTGCCACCATACCTGACTAATTTTTTTTTTCCTTAATTTTTTGTAGACAGGGTCTTGCTATGTTGCCTAGGCTGGTCTTGAGCTCCTGGGCACAAACAGTCTTCCCACTTCAGCCTCCCAAAGTGCTGGGATTACAGATAGTGTGAGCCACTGTACCTGGCCTCTCTCCCTTTTCCTTTACTCTTCCCCTACCTTTCCCCTCACCACCCCCACCACACTCACCTTTTCTTTATCTTATGCTTAATTGGGCATTTGAGGGGTTTTTCTATTTTATTGGTCTCTTCAGAGAGCCAGCTTTGGGCTTACGTGTCCTTTTTTATTTTTTATTAGTTTGAACTTTTATCTTTTTTGTAAAATCTTCCTTTTGAAGTAGAAGCTGTCCTTTTCTAATTGCTTAAGATTAGTGCAAAGTTCCTTTTTATTTGTAAAATACCTTCATTAATATTGAAGGCATTTGACACTAAAGTCTCCTCAGAGTAAATCTTCTGGAGTGTTCTATAAATTTTGATATGAAGTGTTCTCTTTTCCCTTGCTTTCAAGATATCCTCCAGTTCCCCTTTTGATTTCTTCTTTGATCTAAGAATATGTTTCTTAATTTCTAAGTAGTTAAGATTTTTTGGTTACCTGATTATTTAATCCTCATTTTATTGGATTGTGATCAACGAAGTATCCTTTAAATTTTTAATTTTAAAGGTTTGCAAAGGTTTTCTTTGTTGCCAAATATGCAGTTAATCTTTAAAAATGTGGCATAGGTGTAAGAAAAAATATATATTCTTATTTGAGGGAAGTAAGGGTATCTGTTGATCTATTTCTCTTCTTCATGTCTTTATTATTTTCTCTCTGGGAAATATTCTCATTTGAGAAATAACTTTTTGTCATGTTCTTGAATTTTAAGAATTTTTAGTTGCTGTATTATTTGGTGCACACATACGTCTACCTTTTATATTTCTTCCAAAACCATGCATTTAGTAATACCACTCTATCCATCAGTGCCTTTAAGCTCAAGTCCAGCTTGTCTGCTGTTAATTTTGCCATCCCTGCCTTCTTCTTTGCATTTGCCTGGTATCTCCTTGTTTTGTGTATTATTTTCAACCCTATTTGTCCTTTTAGGTATGTCTCTTGAACAGCATAAATTTATATATATTTTTAACACAACCTTATAGGCCCTTTAGTTGGATAAATCAATATGTACACATTTAAAGTAATAACAAACAGGCTTGATTTTATTTCTTCCACCTTATTTTATTGATTCAGCTTTTTTTCTCATTTCCCCATTTTTGATATTTTGATCAAGTTGTTTATCCTTTTTTTTTTACTTGATAATATGGAAGTTCTTCACTTTCCATTTTTTTAGTAACAGCTTTATTATAAAATAATTCAGCCATTTAGTGTGTACAATTCAGTGGCTTTTAGTATATTCACAGTTGGTGAAACTATTTCCATCACCCCATAAAGAAACTTTAGCCATCTAAATTACCATTAATCTCCTTTCTGTCTCTTTAGCTTTGCCTATTCTAGACATTTCATATACATGGAATCATAATATGTGGACTTTTGTGACTGGCTTCTTTCAGTTAGTGTAATGTTTTCAAGCTTCATCCATGTTGTCACATGTCTCAGTATTTCAGTCCTTTTTCTTGTTGAATAATATTCCATTGAGTGTATATACCACATTTTATTTATTCATCAGTTGAACATTTGGGTTGTTTTCACCTATTGGCTATTATGAATAATGGCAAAACCTTTATGTACAGGTTTTCGTGTGGACATGGTTTTCATTTTTCTTGGGTATATACCCAGGAGTGGAGTTGCTGGGTCATCTGATAACTCTGTATTCAACGTTTTGAGAAACTACCAGGCTGTTTTCCAAAGTGACTGTACCATTTTACAATCCCAGTGGCAGTGTATGAAGGTTCCAGTTTCTTCATATTCTTGTCAGCACTTGTTAATGCCTGTTGTTTTGATTCCAGCCTTCCTGGTAGGTGTGAAGTGGAAGCTCATTGAGGTTTTGACTTGTGTTTCCTGAATGACTCATGATGTTGAGCATCTTCTCATATGCCAACTGTCCATTTGCATATCCCATTTGGAGAACTGTCTATCAAAGTCTTTTGCCCATTTTTAAATTGAGTCATTTGTCTTTTTATTGAGTTGTAAGAGTTCTTTATATATTCCGAATATTCCTTATATAGTCTTATCAGATATATGACTTCCAAGTTTTTTCTTCCATTTAGTGGGTTGTCTTTTCACTCTCTTCATGATGTCCTTGGAAGCACAAAAGTTGTACATTTTGTGACATCCCATGTATCTATTTTTCTCTGGTTGCTTGTTTTTGGTGTCCTAGCTAAGAAACCACTGACAAGTTTGAAATCACTGAGATTTAACCCTATGCTTTCTTCTAAGAGCTTGATCATTTTATGCTTGCATTTACATCTTTGGTCTATTTTGAGTTTTTTTGGTATATGATGTAAGGTTTCCATTTTTTCTTTTGCATGTGGATATTCAGTTGCTTCAGCACCATTAATTGAAAAAAACTGCTTTTCCCCCATTGAATTATTTTGACACCTATGGTCAAAAATCAATCGATTGTAATTTATTTTCTATTTTAATAACTGTCCCTTTCTTCTTGACTACTTCGCAATAAAATATGTATTGCTCTACAGTCATTTGAAAACAGTATGCTATTTCCCCAGGTAAGACTACTTTCCCCTCAACAAGACCTTCTATATCAGGAATTCTTATTTAACTTTTATCATACTCAGTCCCAGAGATTGATTGTTCTTTTACATTACATGCATACATACATACAAGATACATCAAATATACATTTTTGTCCAAGTGGGTAAATGTTTGCTTAAGTCAAGACGAAGCCAATTATGGAAGGAATTTCTAGGATACAAGAGTACTGCCTGAAATTTTGTTTAAAAAATTTATACTGTATTAGATTCAAAATTATAAAGGTTGACAATGTAGTATAGATATAATAACCTCTCATGCTGTCAGTGGCTTGATTGTACCTGTAGTCACTCTACCACACATTTGTGAAAATTAAGAGCGATTCAGTTGGGACTGGGGACTGGGCAAGGCAATTTGGGCTACAACTGTGAACACAGGGTACTTCTGCCAGTGACGTCTCCACCATTCTCTCCAGCAGTAGCTCTCTAAGGTAAAGACTTACCTTCTTTTCATCTCCTAGACTTGAGGATTTGACCAATCCACAGGATGATGCAGTTTCATGGACACAAACCCATGAACAAATCCTTGGTTCACTGCTTAGAGGTATTCTTTGAATATTTTTAGGAGTAAATTTCAGATGTTGCCCCGATTATAATTTTTACTTGTGATATTTCTGCATGCAGTTGTTTCCTCTCATAATCGCTTGAGGAAAAACTAGGAGTGTGTCAATGGAGCAATATGTCTATCTTTCAAGATAAAATCATTTTTGAACTTCTGTCTGCATCTCAGATTTTTTTTTCTATGAACATTAGTTTTGATGTCTTCCCTGAGGAGACAATAGATATCATGTAAGGAACACTTACGCTCTCATGACACATCAGTTTGATTACCCAGAATTCCCTGGGACAGCCAGCCAGAAAGGGAGGGAGAAACATGGCTGATTTCCTCATTAATCCAGCAAGCAGGCTGTCAGACTCAAAGGCCTGGATGTGTTTGCACAGCCAAATGTCTGCTGTACAAGATACAGAAGGAGCACATTAATTCAGGGAACAGTTTTTTTTTCCGTAATATGGTTTCCAGGAGGAACTTAATAATCAGGATTCATAGCTTGGGCAAATCTCAGCAATTCTTCATCTTCTAACTACTGAAAATGATAATTTGTTCATGATAATCATTTTAACAGCCATTTTGAGTGTCGCTTTAGTCTTCATAGACTTAAAACTACAAGGAGTTGTCTGAAGACATTCTTAAGAGGTCTATTATTGAAAACAGACATTTTTCTGTAACTCTTTTCTTCAAGCTCTGAATATTCTTTTTTAGTCCTAGATTGAAAGTGACGTATTCTGGACTGGACATGGTGGTTCACGCCTGTAATCCCAGCATTTTGGGAGGCCAAGGCAGGCGGATCACCTGAGGTCAGGGGTTCAAGACCAGCCTGGCCAACGTGGCGAAACCCCGTCTCTACTAAAAATACAAAAATTATCTGGGTGTGGTGGTGCACGCCTGTAATTCCAGCTACTAAGGAGGCTGAGGCAGAATTGCATTTGAACGTGGGCGGTGGAGGTTGCAGTGAGCGAAGATTGCGCCATTGCACTCCAGCCTGGGCAACAAGAGTGAAACTCTGTCTCAAAAAAAGTGATGTTGTCAAACTTGATTGTGAAATTTTTATCCCTGAATTTTTAACGTGGTATAGTTGAGTTTTTGCTTTTAACTCATCATCACCAGATGAAGAATTTGCAAATAGGAATGTTTCTTGAAATAGTTATAGCCTGAATAAAATTAAATGACAATAAAATTACACTAAGTTCTTAAGGGCTATTTAGTATTATGAAAGCTAATATATGAAATAATTCTCCAAAGATTATAATTATGATATAATCTAAACTCTGTTGTTCTGTCTTGTATTATTACTTAAATTTTATAACTGTCATTTCTAAAAGGATAAATATTCTTTCTAAAGTTATCTGGACAACATACTCATAATATTTCTGTTAACTGTCATTCTGTTTCTCAGTTTATATACTTCAAGGCTCTTAATTTCTTAATATTTTTTTGCCTATAAAATTAGTAGCTATTACAGTCTTTAATTATTGCAACATTTTACTCTTGCAGTAATAACTAAATATTTCTACTTTAACAGAATTTCTTTTTTTTTTTTTTTTTTTTTTTGAGACGGAGTCTCACTCTGTTGCCCAGGCTGGATGGAGTGCAGTGGCGTGATCTCGGCTCACTGCAAGCTCTGCCTCCTGGGTTCACGCCATTCTCCTGCCTCAGCCTCCCGAGTAGCTGGGACTACAGGCGCCCGCCACCATGCCCGGCTAATTTTTTGTATTTTTAGTAGAGATGGGGTTTCACCATGTTAGCCAGGATGGTCTCGATTTCCTGACCTCATGATCCACCTGCCTCGGCCTCCCAAAGTATTGGGATTACAGGCGTGAGCCACTGTGCCCAGCCAACTAACAGAATTTCAAACTGTAAAGAATCCTAGCATATTTTTAGTCTGAGTTGTGTCTTAGAATTATCTGTAAAAGTAAATACTGTGGCATTAATTTAAAAACTGAATTGCATGTCTTGTGCATATCACTGAGATGCATTCTGCTTAGACATGATGGGAATCTACACTATTAAATGACAACAATCACCCATCAAATCAAGGGTGTCAGAAACAACATTGAAATAGGCATCAACTATTCACCCCTGAGAAGGCCCAAGACCGTTTGGCTCATTGGTCATCAGTTCTTTCTCCTCTTTTCTCACTGTAGGGTCTTGGTTCTGGTCCATATATTTTTAGAGACCTTTTTTTACTGTTGTCCTCAGCCAGGGAGGCTACTGGTATATACAGCTGATGCTTGAACAACACAAGGCTTAGGGGAGCTGACCTCCCACACAGCCAAAAATCTGTGTATAAAACTTAACTAATAACAGACTACTGTTAACTGGAAGCTTTACCAATAATATAAATGGTCAATTAACAAATATTTTGTATGTTATGTGTATTATATACTGTATTCTTAAAATAAGCTAGAGAAAAAAATATTATGAAGAAAAATCATAAGAAAGAGAAAATATATTTACTGTTCGTTTAGTGGAGGTGGATCATCCACGCCTTCTTCAGGTTGAGAAGGCTGAGGAGAGAAGGATGAGGAGGGATTGGTCTTGCTGTCTCAGGGGTGGCAGAGGAGGAAGGAAATCCGGGTATAAGTGGACCCACACAGGTCAAACCCGTGTTGTTCAAGGGTCACCTGCACTCTCAATTTTTTTCTTCATATATCTTTTTTTTTTTTTTGAGGTGGAGTCTCACTCTGTCACCCAGGCTGGAGTGCAGTAGCGCAATCTCAGCTCACTGCAAGCTCCGCCTCCCAGGTTCACGCCATTCTCCCGCCTCAGCCTCCCAAGTAGCTGGGACTACAGGCGCCTGCCACCACACCCAGCTAATTTTTTTGTATTTTTAGTGGAGACGGGGTTTCACCTCTTCATATATCTTTTTAAAAAAAAAAAAAAAACTTGATAGCTGAGTGATACCTTGCCTTGGGAAGCCTTTTTTTTTTTTTTTTTGAGATGGAGTTTCGCTC
This sequence comes from Homo sapiens, assembly GCF_000001405.40. Taxonomy (NCBI): domain Eukaryota; kingdom Metazoa; phylum Chordata; class Mammalia; order Primates; family Hominidae; genus Homo; species Homo sapiens. The sequence goes on along the minus strand of NC_000001.11, from coordinate 230,404,908 downwards.
TTGTTGCCCAGGCTAGAGTGCAATGGCACAATCTTGGCTCACTGCAACCTCTGCCTCCCTGGTTCAAGCAATTTTCCTGCCTCAGCCTCCAGAGTAGCTGGGATTACTCCACCACGCCCAGCTAATTTTGTATTTTTTGGTAGAGGCGGGATTTCTGCATTTTGGTCAGGCTAGTATCGAACTCCTGACCTCAGTTGATCTGCCAAACGTCAGCCTCCTAAAGTGCTGGGATTACAGGCGTAAGCCACCTTGCCAGGCCATATATATATATATATATATTTTTTTTTTTTTTTTTTTGAGACAAGACTTTGCTCTGTCTCACCCAGGCTAGAGTACAGCAGCACAGTTGCAGCCCACTGCAGCCTCAGCCTCCTGTGCTCAAGTGATCCTCCCCTCCCTCCTCAGCCTCCCAAGTACCTGGGACCACAGGTGCGCGCCACCACACTTGGCTAATTTTTTAAAATTATTTTTAGAGATGGGGGCCCAGGCTGGTCCCAAACTCCTAGGCTCAAGCAATCTTTCCACCTCAGTCCCCCGAGTAGCTCAGACCACAGGAATCTGCCACCACTTCTGGCTAATTTTTTAAATTATTTGTAGAGATGGGGTCTCCCTGTGTTGCCCAGGCTAGTCTCGAGCTCCTAGGCTCCAGCAGTTCTCCTGTCTCTGCCCCTGAGTAGCTGGTGTGCATGTTTTCTCATGGCATGTATCTAGAGCTTGGGGTCTTCACTGCCCCTGTTCATCCGTCCCTTTTCCTCCCAGGTCTCAGGATGCACCCTCACAGTCTCATAGCTTGACGCCTTCCACCCGGCATCTTCCACTCTGTTCTTTCCTGGTCTTGATCTTCTGAGTGAGTAACTCAAGAATCCTATGTGCCCACCTTTCTTCTCTTTGAAGAGTTGTTTAGTTGGGAAATCATGTTTTCTAGTTACAGGAAATCTTTTTTTTTCCTCCTCTGTATGTTGCAGTAGAATCCTCTTGAGCACTATAATTATTTTAATTAAAATTCAAGTTGTATGTATCCTCCAGTAGCTCCCTCTTTCTGGGGGTGTGTCTGTTTCTTCTGGGCGGTCCCCCTTGTGTGTTGCTGAGACTCTTGGAAGGGGTTATCACTCTTCGTTGGCTCAGGGGGCCTGGGTCTGGTGGAGCACTGATGGGGTTAGTGGGCCTGCCCTGGTGGGAGAGAAGGCGGCTCTTCTGTGTCCAGAGCGGACCCCGCATGACCTTCCCTTTACTTGTGGGCTCTGGGACTTGCAGCGCCACCTGCTGCTTTGCCCCTGGAGCCTGGGAATCCAGGCGGAGCACTCAGGATGGGGCTGGTTTTCCTCCAGGGCCCGCAGGTCTCTCCAGGCCAGCCTCCCCTGAGGCCTTTGGCTCTAAGATCCTCATCCTGAGGCTCTGGTGCTGGTCTCTCCAGCTTGAGAGGGAAGAAGCCCTACACTGGACCTCTCCACTGGGAACTACACTGAGTGCACCCAGCCACTTCTTCTCAGTGCTGTAGAGACAGAAGGGGGACAAGTGGAGGGTGAGAGGCGATGTTGGGCTCAACCATCTTCACTCAGATACCTGAAAGGCTTGATCTCAAGGAAAAGAGTAAACATTGACAGGGCAGCACTCCACTTAAATTATTTTATTTCACACTTAGGTTTAAGTATTGTTATCCCCATGAAACAGACGTTGGGAGATTAAGACACTTCGACTGTAAGTATTAGTGGTAGAGTCAGGAATTGAATGGGGTGTGCTTTGGTCAAACTCTTAGGTGCTTTTGCATCCACCCATGTTTCTGTTAGAGAAGAGGCCTGGAGGCATGCTTGCCATAGACTAAGCACTTGGTGTTAGCTGTTCTTGTCTGATAGGACTCTAACGACCTCACAATTACACACCGATGGGCAGCTGGGAAGAAAATGATGGAGTGATGTGCGGTTCACAAAGGCTTGATCTTGTAGTTGCTTGGATGAAGACAAGGATCCATTAAAAGCAGGTCTCCCTAACAAACCTCATTCTGGAACATCAAGTTCAATGGTCATATAAGCAGTTGCTCAAAGCTACCATATCATTGGCAGAGAGTCACATGTGTTCTACCAGACTAAATATATAATCATTGAGACATATTAAAATGTTGCTGGCTGGGCACTGGGGCTCGTGCCTATCAACCCAGTGCTTTGGAAGGCCAAGGTGGAAGGACTGCTTGAGCCAAGGAGTTTGAGACCAGCCTGGGCAACATAGCGAGGGCAAGCCAAGGAGTTTGAGACCAACCTGGGCAGCAAAATCTCTACAAAAAATTTTAAAAATTAGCCAGGAGTGGTGGTATGTACCTGTAGTCCTACCTACTTGGGAGGCTAAGGCAGCAGGATTGCTTGAGCCCAGGAGTTTGAGGCTAAACTCAGAGGCAAAGCCCCCTCCCCCAACAGTGAGCTCTCTTCACACCACTGCACTCCAACTTTAGTGACAGAGCAAGACCCTGTCTATAAAATAAAAAGTTAAAATGTTGCTATTGCTATCATTAAAAGCTTTTTGTTTGGGTCTGTAGAGATAGCTTCTCACTTTCTATCTGGAGAAGCGTTCCTGGACCTTCCTCGAGGGCAGCGAGGAGAGGCGTTAGGCCACGTGGACTTCTGTGGGCCTGCCTAGGCCGTGAACTCCCAGGCCCACTCCCTCTAGGGTGATGACTTGTGTGTGAACACGGATGTCAGTTTCATTTAGAATCAACTCACATGGAATCTGTAGCTCACAAGAAATGTGGTTACAGAATATGCTTAGTAATGCTTGGCATGTTCATTTCTTTTTTTTTAAGGAAAGACTGGAAAAATCTGAGCCTGAAAGGCTTCATCTGGACTCAAAGGCAAAACTGCCTTCTCTCCCCCTCCCTGTCACCCACCACTTCCTGGCAGCAGCTTTGGTATCTGGGGCTGCTGCTGTCTTACAGTGTGAGACACTTCAGGAGCCCTTGCCCTCCCTCCCCACAGCTCATCAGAGTCCGTCAGCTCTCAAAGGCCAGCAGCCTTGCCTCTCCTTGCCTGGGAGCAGTTGTGGATGTCAGCCCCGTTTGCTCTTGGTGTGCCAGGAGGTGTGTCGTATGGGGAGGTGAGCAGCGCGCCTGCCTGTGTTGCCAGGGCGCCTCCAAGCCCTGGCAGGAGAAAACCAACCCCAGGAAAGGAAGCCCAGTGACTAGAGGTCAGCGAATGTGGCCGGAGGCCTGAGGGCTCTGATGCGGGGAAAGGCCGGGCAGCAGAAACCCTAGATTATGAAGGGTAAAATCTGATTACTTGCTGAGGCCAGTGTGTTTTCAGTGTTTCTTTAATCCACTGGAAGTCAGAGGTGAGTGAAAATTTCATAAAAGAATTATTTTTTCCTTCTGGGTCTTGCCGCCTTTTGATCTTGGCATAGGACAAGGATCTGCTCAAGGGTCGTTTCTCGGATCTTTCCTTAGTGCTGTTTGCTATTTACGCTTCTCCCTGGCCCCAAGCAACAGGCCAGATCAGGCCCTCATGTGACAAGCTGGGAGTTCCCCATGAGAAGAGCCACCTCAACGGGGATGAGCAGTCCCGGAGCACGTACTGCCTGTTGGAGGCCGTGTTATACACATGCGCATATGCTGACCCGCCATGAGCGCCACCTGTGTCCAGTGTGCTTTGTCTGTGCCCCACAGCATGTGAGGGGTGGAGCCAGGATGTGCTCCTGTGACCCAAGGGAGCCGGTGACCCAGGTGCCAAGGCCAGCGTCCTTAACTCCCACCACGCAGCTCTCCTAATGGTGAATGCGGCCCAATGCCTGTCCTGACCATCTGCGTAGGGCTGTGCCTTCTGGTAAATGTTAGGTATCAGGTGGGAGGGACAGTGAATGAGGAAGGGGACAAGGACAGTCTCCAGGTAACTGTAGATAATATGCGTGCTTCTCAGGGTGGTGATACAATCTCATGGGCTTTAGTATCTAGGTCAGAATTCTGACCTGTTTGTAGTTATGTGTTCTCTGAGTCCGTTTTCTCATTTATAAAGTAGAGAAACTTCAACCTGACTTACTGCAAGGCAGTTGTGAACATTGAATTGTGCAGCCTTTTTGTTAGAGATGGGATCATGCTGTGTTGCTCAGGCTAGAGTGCAGTGGCTATTCACAAGTGCAGTCAGCACACTACAGCCTAGAACTCTGGTGAGTGATCCACACACCTCAGCCTCCTAAGTAGCTGGGACTGCTGACATGTGCCACCGTGTCCAGCTTAAATTGTGCAACATTTAACATTTAACATTTCTAAGAAAGAAAACCTCTTTCTTAGTGTCTGGCACATGAGAAATACTGAGTAAGTATTGGCACTTCTCCTGCTACTGTTCTTTGGTGACCACGCAGTGGATAGTGAAGCTAGGTTTTAAGTCTTTACTGAGCACCCATTATGTCTCAGGCACTGTTTTGGGCTTTTAGAATACATCAGTGAACCAAATAGATTCTGGCCTCCATGAAGCACACATTCTAGAGTGGGTAACAGACAATAAGCAGTGAACCAATAAGCAGATGGCATGTTAAAAAGGAAATGTTGTAGAAGGAAACAGTAGGCAGGTTTAGGGGGCTTGAGAGTGTGGGGGAGGGGTGGAAGGCGTCTGTTGCAGAATTAAATAGGGTGGGCAGGCCTGATTCAGAAGGTAAGATTTGAGCAAAGCTCCCAGGCGGTGAAGGAGTTGGCCCAGTGCATTTCTGGCAAGTGGAGATCCCTCCCATCCAGGTGAGGTGCCTGACAGTGTGAGGCCCGAGGCAGGAGTGTGCCTGGTGGGCGAGGCGCGGAGGAAGGAGGAAGGCGGTCAGAGAGCTGCAGGGTGGAGGCGGGGCACAGAGGGCCTTGCAGGCTGTGGGAAGAACTTGGCTTGCATTTTGAATGAGATGAGGAGTCTTTGGTGGATTTTTAGCAAAGGGATAACATAGCCCTGTGTAAGTTTTAAAGAGATGCTGTGAGTGCCAGGTTGAGAACAGACCCTAAGAGGACAAGCGTGGGATCTGGCTCCCGCCATAACCTGGCAAGAGATGGTGGAGACGATGAGACGCCTTCAGATTCCTGACGTGTTGTGAAGCTAGGACCAGCTGGCTGCCCTGATGGATCGCGTGTTTCCACCGTGGGAACTGAGTATTGGAAGGATCTGCGGCAACGTGGGCAGGAGAAATAGGCGTCATTTTGTGAGTTTGGATTGAGTATCATGTGCCCTCAGCAGCATCCTCCGGTCTGCGGGGGTCCTTCAGCCACTTGACCCTACTCCCACTGCACATTCCTATGGTCACGACTGGTGACGGTGGGAGCAGCACTGGTAGCAGATGTCTGAGAGAGGACCAGACCAGAAGGCTGGCTCTACGTGGTCCATGATGGCTGAATTCAGGGGTGTCGAGGAGATGGCATGTACCTGCCTTCTCCTGTAAAGTAAACGTATGGGTAACCAGACCCATGGGAGGGTTTTGGAAGAGGGTGGGGCCACGGCAAGGGGTTAGGTCTGCAGGTAGCCCCCTCCTGTGGGGATCAGCTCTCCAGGGCATCCCTGGCCTGGGCCTCGTGTTCTGAGCAGTCAGCTCCGTGGGAGAACGGACTCCCTGAGAAGACACCAAGTGTATATCAGCAAAGTGGGGGACTGTTCTCATGAAGCAGGGTTGCCAGACAGAATACAGGACACCAGTAAAATTTAGATTTCAGATATACAATAATTGTTCAGCTTAAGCTTGCCGGTCATTACATGGGCCGTATTTACATATGAAAAAAATTACTTGTTTATTTGAAATCCAAATAGCGCTAGCTGTCCTGTATTTTAATTTGCCAACTCAGGCTCCTGTCTCGGTGTGTTCTTGCTCACTGATGAGCTGCACCTGACACTTAGCCACCCCCCCTTAGTAACCTGTGAGGGTTGCCAAGAAACAAGACTTTGAAAGAGCCATTGAATTTTGTGGGGAAAAGGTTCTGCCGGGCTCCTGGGTCTGTCTTTCCCTCTTGTCGGAGCCTGGCCCCGAGCTCATTGGAGCACTCTGCATCCAGCCCTTCCGCTTCTGTTTCAGACCAGCTGCTCTGGGGGACTCCATGCTGGCCCATGGCTATGTTTTGAATCTTACCGATGTGACAGTGCAGGCCCTTAAGGAGGTGGTGCTGAGGACTGAGAGCAATGCACTGATGCTCGAGATCTTCACCCCCTAAAAACCCAGTTCTGGGAGCTGTGGGGTGGGGTCACTGCCAGGAGCCCAGAGGTCTTGGGTGGGCTCTGCCTACTGAGGGCTTATGGTCTGGTCTGCTGGGGAGAGGGCCTTGCCCAAGACCCCTGTCTCTAGTTCTGTCCTAGAACTGCCTAGTTCTGTCTAGTTCTGCTGAACAGCACCTCCCATCTGTCATGAGCTGAATTGTGTCCACCCCAAATTCATATGTCGAAGTCCTAACCCCTAGTACTTCAAAATGTGACCTTCTTTGGAGATGAGGTCTTTAAAAGGTAATTAAGGTAAAATGAAATCATATGGGTGGGCCCTAATCCAATCTGATTGGTGTCCCAGTAAGAAGAGAGGAGGACACAGACACACATGGGGGAGCCCATGCGAAGACATGGAGACCGCCCTGTGCAAGCCAGGAGAGAGGCCTCAGCAGGAAACAAGCCTGCCAACACCTTGATCTCACACTTCTCGCCTCCAGCACTGTGAGATAATAAAGTTCTGTTGTTTAAGCCACCGTTCTGTGGTACTTTGTTATGGTTGCTTAGCAAATGAATGTACCATCCTACAAGATGAGACGTGCAAGGCTAGACAGGAAAGCAAGGCAGGGAGGCTGGATTCTGGGGGTTCAGATGGAGCGGTCTCAGCTCTGTGCCACTCAGCCTTTTGCCAACTGGGACTGTTTCAGGGTCCTATAGGAGTTCCTGGGTGCCAGATGTGCCATTTCAGACTGGAAGGTAACCCATTAAATCTGGCCTTGCAGATCTGTGAGAGGGGAACGACTCCTTCTCCAGGGCACAGCCACCAGTTGGGTGGTGATAGCTTCTGAGCAAGAGGAGTCTGTGCCCATGTAGGGGACGCTACCCCCAAAGCCAGCTCTGTGCTCTCACATAGAGCTGGATTCTTCCCGGCAGCATCCTGTGGTTAAGCTTTAGAGAAGGCAAGACACATAAGGAAGATGTCATCCAATTCAGAAGCTCTGAGCCTGCCGATCTTCCTTGAGGAGGTCTGACTTCGCTGTGTGTTTGAGCTGTGGAAGAGATCACCATCTTAAGTCACAGGCCCACGATTTTTGCCTCTGTGTATGCCCAGGCATTCCTTGAGGAGATTTGGGGAAAAATATCCCAGAGCTATTTTTATGTCAGTGACATCTTTGGGTAATTAAAATTACTTTTATATCATTGTTCTCAGGCATGAACTTGATAAATATTCTTAAATCTCCTCTTGCTTGGATTAATTTGCCATTTAAAGATTCATCTTTATAAAAATGTCACTTTATGTGTCAAAAACTAGGAATTAGAAGACTGGGTAGATTTAAGGAAACGAGCAAATCTTGATTCTGTATTGGTTTTGCTATGCTTCAGAACTTCAAAATTATGAAAGTCTTACTTTTGCTACTGGAATGCTATGGTGGTGTTTTTACTTTGAATTCCATAATTAGGGAGACAATTAGAAAATGTAGCCACTGAGGTTAGCAAAGCCAGGGTTGTAGTTCCACGTGATAAAGCAGTACAGCTTGCAAGGTGGGCATCCAGATTTCTGAGCGGGAACAGTGGGAAGGAATTCCTCCACAGTGGCGGGGGTGAAGGTGTGGTGTGAGCATGCAGGCGCGTGTGCGGGTGGGCAATGGGAGGCCTCAGTGGAGTCTTGATTCCCATCTCTTGGAATCGGGTCACAGAGAGCCGAGGATTCGGCATAAACCAGGTGAACTCCCTCTCCAGTGACAACAGTGCACCTCCCAGCTGTCCTTAGAAAGGACCCCCAAGGCGTGACTCCAAACCCCTGGAAAGGGCCATAGGTGTGGGACATTTCCAGGAGTGCTCTGACTTCCAGCGTGATTTTAAATGTGAGTGGCCATTGTACATAGCACCTTGCTAACAGGCTTGTCACACTCATTGGTCTGCTCCGCACACAATCCCATGGGGAGGGTGCCTCTCCGCCAGTGTATGCTTCCGGTTTTAAATGCAAGGAAATGGAGGCTCTGAGAGCAGAGTGGCCTGCCGGGATCTCATGTCAGTACACGGTGTTGTTTCAGGCGGACACCATGGTTTTGTAACTCCAAAGCCAGGCCCTTCCTATGATGCCCCCATGTGTGCCGTCCTCAGGTGCCTCAGGATAGGTGTGTCTCTGGGTTGAGTGTGGTCTCATGTTCAGGAGCTTGTGGTCCATTCCAGATGAATGCAGGGGGAGGGGGGGCAACAAAATGTACCTTAGCTGTCAAGGGGGCTGGAAGGAGAACCTGATAGTATGGGTGAGTGGAGGAGGACCCTGGCTGCGGAAGTAGGGGGAAGTTGAGGGGGAGGAGGATAGAGAGTGAAAGGGAGGATGGTGGGGATGGGGGAGGAGGGTGGAGAGTGAAAGGGAGGAGCTTGGGGAGCAAAGGGGGAGGAGGGTGAAGAGAGTAACTTAAGAATAGGGAGTAGAGGAGAAGGAGTGTGGGGTAAAAGGGAGGAGTGTGGGGGTAAAAGGGAAGAGTGTGGGGGTAAAAAGGAGGAGTGTGGGGGTAAAAGGGAGGAGTGTGGGGGTAAAAAGGAGGAATGTGAGTAAAAGGGAAGAGTGGGGGGGTAAAAAGGAATGTGGGTAAAAGGGAGGAGTGTGGGAGTAAAAGGGATGAGTATGGGGGGTAAAGGGGAGGAGAGTGGAGGGTGGAGCAGTAGGAGGAGCAGAAAGAGGGAAGCAAAGGGAAGATGGAGGAAAGAGGGAAGCAAAGGGAAGACGGAAGCAAGGGAGCAGAAAGAGGGAAGCAAAGGGAAGAAAGAGGGAAGCAAAAGAAAGAGGAGCTTGAGGTTGGGGAGGAGGGTGGGAAGTAAAAGGGAGGAGCTCAGGGATGGGGAGGAGCGTGAGGAGGGGAGGAGGGTGGGAGTAAGAGAGGAACTTGGATGGGGAGGAGCATGAAGAGGGGGAGGAGGGTAGGAATGAGGAGCTCAGGGATGGGGAGGAGTGTGGGAATGACAGGAGCTCAGGGATGGGGAGGAGTGTGAGGAGGGGGGAGGAGGGTGGGAGTGAGGAGCTCAGGGATGGGGAGGAGTGTGAGGAGAGGAGGGGAGGAGGGTGGGAATGAGAGGAGCTCAGGGATGGGGAGGAGTGTGAGGAGAGAAGGGGGAGGAGGGTGGGAATGAGAGAGGAGCTCAGGGATGGGGAGGAGCATGAGGAGAGGAGGGGAGGGGGTTGGGAATGAGAGGGGAGCTGGGATGGGGAGGAGTGTGAGGAGGAGGGGAGGAGGGTGGGAATGAGAGAGAAGCTCAGGGATGGGAAGGAGTGTGAGGAGAGGAGGGGAGGAGGGAGGGAGTGAGAGAGGAGCTCAGGGATGGGGAGGAGTGGGAGGAGAGGAGGGGAGGAGGGTGGGAGTGAGAGGAGCTCAGGGATGGGGAGGAGCATGAGGAGAGGAGGGGAGGGTGTTGGGAGTGAGAGGAGCTGGGATGGGGAGGAGTGTGAGGAGAGGAGGAGAGGAGGGTGGGAATGAGAGAGGAGCTCAGGGATGGGGAGAAGCGTGAGGGGGGGAGAAGGGTGGGAATGAGAGAGGAGCTCGGGGATGGGGAGGAGGGAGGGAGAGAGGAGCTCGGGGATGGGGAGGAGTGTGAGGAGAGGAGGGGAGGAGGGTGGGAGAGGAGCTCGGGGATGGGGAGGAGTGTGAGGGGAGGAGGGAGGGAGAGGAGCTTGGGGATGGGGAGGAGTGTGAGGGGAGGAGGGAGTGAGAGAGGAGCTCTGGGACGGGGAGGAGGGAGGGAGTGAGAAGAGCTCGGGGATGGGGAGGAGTGGGAGGAGAGGAAGGGAGGAAGGTGGGAACGAGAGGAGCTTGGGGATCAGCAGGAGCGTGAGTGGAGGAGAGGAGGGTAGGAGTGAGAGAGGAGCTCGAGGATGGGGAGGAGCATGAGGAGAGGGGGGAGGAGCATGAGAGGAGGGAGGGAGTGAGAGAGGAGCTCGGGGATAGGGAGGAGCGTGAGGAGAGGAAGGGAGGAAGGTGGGAATGAGAGAACCTTGGGGATTGGGAGGAGCGTGAGTGGAGGGGAGGAGGGTAGGGATGAGAGAGGAGCTCGGGGATAGGGAGGAGCGTGAGGAGAGGAAGGGAGGAAGGTGGGAATGAGAGGACCTTGGGGATTGGGAGGAGCGTGAGTGGAGGGGAGGAGGGTAGGAATGAGAGAGGAGCTCGGGGATGGAGAGGAGCACAAGGAGAGGAGGGGAGGGGGGTGGGCAATGAATGGAGCTTGGGGTTAGGAGAGGAGGGCAGGGAGTGAAAGGAGCTTGGGGATGGGAAGAAGCACAGCGGGAGGATTGGAGGACCCTGGCCAACTAGGGGGAGGAGCAGCACAGGGAGGGGCTTGGGGAGCAGAGGTGGGGTGTGGGCAGCGGGGGAGGAGCACCATTAGCAGTGCCTGACAATGAGCAAATCCTAGGAGCAGGCTCCCCCTCCTCATACTCGAAAACCGCCACTCCTGTAGCACAATAGAAGGGCAGAGTCAGAGTTGGTCCCTGTGGAGTTTTTTAGGGGAAACGAAACGGAGGTTCTTGAGGGTACTGGGCACGTTTATCTAGCATGCTTTGCCCTGGTCCTCAGGCCTGAGACAGGAGGGAGCACCCTCCCTGGCCCTGTGGGATGATCCCCATCCAGGAGTGGCTGATCTCCAGGGAGATAAAATAGGCATGGTTTGTTGAATATGAGTATAGGATATGGGGTGGCGTTCTCTGAGGAGCCATAGGTAGAATTTGGATAAAAGAAGTCCATGTTTCTGTAAGATTTGTAGCCCAGTCAGGGGCGGAATGAGCCAGAAGAGTGGGAGAGCTGGAAGCCTGCAGAGGATGCCAGGCCGGGGCAGGTGTGGCGGACTCTAGGGCGGGGAGCCAGTGAGGGAGAGCCTTGCGAAGCCACATGTTTCTAATCAGGCTGTGGACTGGCGGGCCCCGGGCCTATTATTTTTTTTTTTTTTTTTTTTGAGACGGAGTCTCGTTCTGTCGCCCAGGCGGGAGTGCTGTGGCGCGATCTCCGCTCACTGCAAGCTCCGCTTCCCGGGTTCACGCCATTCTCCTGCCTCAGCCTCCCGAGTAGCTGGGACTACAGGCGCCCGCCACTGCGCCCGGCTAATTTTTTGTATTTTTAGTAGAGACGGGGTTTCACCGTGGTCTCGATCTCCTGACCTCATAATCCGCCTGCCTCTGCCTCCCAAAGTGCTGGGATTACAGGCGTGAGCCACCGCGCCCGGCCTATTATTTTCTTTTCTGAGCTCCTTCTGAGGCTCTTAAAGCAGGCGCTAAGATTGGGTGGAAGCCTCTGGCAGCAGAGACCCTCCCGTGTCCTGTGAGAATCTGTGAGTCACCTCCTTAAAGGTGGGATGGTGAAGTGTCCTAGGGTGAGCCTCCTAGAGTCCGCCTGCTCTCCTCCTCCTCGCATCCCCGCCAGTGGTCTCCTGTGTTCAGTGGCTGCACTGGCCCTGAGCACAGCACGCCCCTCCCCCTCCCCTTTCTCTTCTCTTCGCTTTTTCCTCCCTCCTCCTCCCCCTTTTCCCTGCTCTTCTCCCTTCCTTCCTCCTCCTCTCCTCCTTTCCCTTGGCTTCCCTGCCTCCTCCCTCCTCCCCCCCTCCCTTCCCCTTCTCTTCCCTTTTTCCTTCCTCCTCTTCTTCCTCCCCTACCCTTCTTTTTTCCCCTTCCCCTTCTTTTTCCCCTTTCCTCCTTCCTCTTCCTCCTCCGCCTTCCCCTTCCTATCCCTCTCCTCTTTTCCTTCCTTTCTCCCTCTCCCCCTTTCCTTTTCCCTGATTTGCTCCCCCGCCCACCACTGCTCTCCCTTTTCCTCCTCCTCCCCTTCCTGTGCCTCTCCCTCCAGTTCCTCTTCTCTTGCAGCTGGGGTTGGAGAGCTGTCTGCTCCTGCTGCTCCAGGCTCTGGGGCTGAACCCCACGGGGTCTAGTGTGCTGTCAGCCAGGCCTGCCTTCATGCTGCTGGGCTGAACTTTTCTAGCTCAGCCCCTCCAGCTTCCCAGGCCGGAGAGCCAAGCACTGTGGGGCTTGTATCTCCATTGTGAGGTGGACCTCAGGGCCGCACGGGGGATTTCCTTGGGTGAGAGCAGGCCGCTGCTGAGGAGCGGGTGTGGAGCACAGGTTTTGGTGGTGGGAAGTCCTGACAGTCCTCTGGTGAAGGACACGCTTGCAAGGAGCCCCGGAAGGAGGAGAGTCCGGAGGAGGCAGGGGCTGAGCAGCCTCAAAGTTCCAAAGCAGCTGCCCTCCCAGGGCTCCTGCGAGCCGGAGATAAAATAACAAAGCTCGGGTGCTTTATAACTCAGCTTTGGAGGGGGAGAAGATCTGCCTGGAATGAACTGACATCTGAAGGCTTCCTGTCAAGCAGGCCTGTCATCAAAGCCTGGGGCTCATCAGCCGGGCCTCGGGCTCTGGCCTTCCCCAGCTTGATTCTCACCCAATGGGATAGAAGGAGGGGAGACGCAGGGGTACGTGGGGCACAGGCATCCTCTTATCCTGGAGGGATGCCCCTCCAGGGCCGTGGGTCAGTGCTTATCCCCAAAGGACCCGTGACTTTCCCCATGCCTCTCAGGGCAGCCCCGGTGTGGGGGGATGTGGCCAGGAAGCACTGAGGTTATCTGAAGCTGGTGGCAGCTGGGGATCAGCCCCATGACACATGACCAAGGCACTCTTAAGAGAAAAAAATCAAAGCAAGTAGGATTTTCGTTTGGAGATCTGGTAGTGAAGCTTCACAGTCCTAGTAAGCCTCGGTCCAGCCTTTTCCTATGAAAAGTTCATTTCATCTTCTGTTCCTTTCTAACCGCATCATTAAAATGAGCAAACGCCCAGCAGGACTCCTGTGTCGGGCTCCCTTTGGGGGAGAAGGGCAGCTTGGCCCCGTTCTCTGGCGTAGGCTCGGGCCACTGCTGAGCATGGAAGAAAGAAATGCAGCATGGGGCTCGTTTTTTATTGAATTTAACGAAGATCAGTGCCAGGTGTTTGGGGCTGCTTAATAATTATAAAGTCTCTGCTATTTATTGGCTACTAGAAATGGTGAGGAAGAGGTTTATTTTTCTGGAAATAGCATATCCTCCTAAGTGCACCAAAATACAGTAGGAGCTGTGTTTTATGGATGGCCAAATACAGGTCTCTCTCTCCTTGGTACCTCACAGTTTGGTCTTGGAAATTGTTTTACTGCAGGAGGCAAAAGCTTGTCACTGAGGTCTTAAGGTGTGAGGAGGAGGGAGAGGGGTGAGGAGAAAGGGTCTGATTTGACGTTTGCTTTGTGTGTTATACTTTTCCCTGATTCCGGGAAATTTCACACATAAGGTACACCTTAGCATATACCATTTTGTAATGATGCAATTTGAGAAATTCTCTATCCGTAAAACCTCTATTACATCCCTGCAGGGAAGGAGACAGCAAACTCATATTTTTTCCTAGGGGAGAAAATGAGGGGGCAAAATCGGAAAATTGCTAAACTGTAATCCCATGCGCAATTTCTGAATCTTTCCTAAATGTTTTGATGACTAAAAGGAGGGTGAGTTGGGACTATGTCTCAGGCCCTCGGAGATGTTACCATGAAGTCCCCATCTGCTTTGTTCCAGATGTCAGCCACAGCGACAGGCTGGTAGCAGCTCCCTCCCGCCCCACCCCCCACACTCAGGCAAACTGTCCTGCCTCGGTGACATGCCCTGGTGCTTTCCTGATGGACTGAGCTCAGTCGCTATGACTAGTCACTATGAAATGGAGGTGGATAAAAACTGGCAATGAGGCTGGGCGTGGTAGCTCATGACTGTAATCCCAGTACTTTGGGAGGCCAAGGCAGGCAGATCACTTGAGCTCAGGAGTTTGAGACCAGCCTGACCAACATGATGAAACCCTGTCTCTACTAAAAATACAAAAATTAGCTGGCTGTGGTGGTGCGTTCCTGTAATCCTAGCTATTCGGGAGGCTGAGACATGAGAATCGCTTGAACCCAGGAGACAGAGGTTGCAGTGAGCCAAGATCACACTACTGCACTCCAGCCTTTTTTTGAGACTCCATCTCAAAAACAAACAAACAAAAAAAACTGGCAATGAGCCTCTGCTAAAACACACACCCAACAAGTGGGCTTCTTGAGATGTCCCAGGAAGCCTTCCCTGGCCCCATGATTCTGAGCTGCAGGAGCAACCCAGGCTCCCTGGAGTGGGCAGGTAGGGATGGGCGGCAGGGCTTGGAGATGCTACATGTGATTCTGATACCACCTCCACCCTCTGGGTGAGATGCCCGACCTTAGACTTGAGTTTGCCCTCACCCTTTGAAAGCCCACCAGTAACACAACTATTGTCAAACAAATGTAGGCTGATTTGGTTTGCTGCAGCCAGAGAGGATGCACCCCAGAAGAGGGGTGAGATGTTCAGGTGAGGTGAGAGGGGTTGGGAGGAGCCAAGAATGGGGTTTGGGCTTCTGCTGGTGATTCTAAGGAGGGTGTGAGGAAGCTGAAACCAGCTCTGATGGAAGGCTGTGTAGACCCAAAGGCATGGGTGGGTGAGAGAGCATCTGGGTCCCTTTCACCTGGAAGATAGAGGCTCACCATGGAACTGGATTGGCAGCAGTAAAGAAGCAGTGGTCACCCACTTATGGTGGGCAGAGCGAGGGGTATTGAGTTCTTCTGGTTGCAGGGTTCCCCACTCTCTGCTGTGTCCCGCCATGTCACAAAGCAGCCTCGCCTGATGATTGGTACATTTTGGGTCCTATCCCAATCTGACTGGCAGCCTCTAACTCCAGAGCTGTGTTCTCTTTTCTCACCCTCCCACCTTCTGGCTGTGTGATTCAGGCAAGTCACTTATCTTCTTGGCCTCCGTTTCCTCCTTTATAAAAGGGAGGGGAGTGAGGATGATACCTTTTCTGCCCTAGGCAGTGTCACTTTGGGACAGGGTGATGTCCTCAGGTCCCATCCCAAATCATTGCAAACATTCCATTCTTCCACATCCTACACCACCTATACATTCTAAATAGTGTATGAGTTGAGTTGCTGTTGACCAGTTGGCATAAGGCTAAACTTTCTCTATTTTAATGAAACATTTACTAATTGGATTTTTCAACCTACTTTTTATATTATGGGGTTAATACAACCTTATTCCGGGCTTGAACATTTCCACAGCTCTCTCAACTGTATTCTCTGGGTACTGTGCCTGCAGTGTCCAAGGAATGGAAAAGCCCTGCTTCTCTCCTGCAGACATCCTGAAGGCCGAGATCCTACAAGTCCAGGGACAAGGTTTGAGTGTCCTAGGAGCCCTTCATATTTTATGGAAAGTTTAACGTATACATGCTCATTGATGTTTATAAGAAAAATGTCAGCTGGGCGTGGTGGCTCAAGCCTGTAATCCCAGCACTTTGGGAGGCTGAGGCGGGTGGATCACCTGAGGTCAGGAGTCCGAGACCAGACTGGCCAACATGGTGAAACCCCGTCTCTACCAAAAATACAAAACTTAGCTGGGCATGGTGGCACGCGCCTGTAATCCCAGCTACTCAGGAGGCTGAGGCAGGAGAATCGCTTGAACCCGGAGGCAGAGGCTGCGATGAGCCAAGGTCGCGCCACTGCACTCCAGCCTGGGTGACAAGAGTGAAACTCCGTATCAAAAAAAAAAAAAAAAGAAAGAAAATGTCATCACTTGCGTAGAACCTCCAAGGGTTTTGCATCATAGCAGAGATTTGCATCGAAGCCTTGTCAAATGGTCAGTTGGGGAGGGCTAGGCCCACATACCTTGTCTCCTTGCAGCAGCGGTCTGAGCCCAAGGCAGCTTCCTCCCAGTCTTCCCAGGGCATTGGGGCTGGTGGTGGGCATAGGAGAGAGCCCACTCGACAAGACCTCATGTCTGAGGGCCCCCCTGGCTCCTGCCCTTTCTTGTCTCCAGCCCAGGAGGCCCCTCCTTTCCCCATTTCTGTGGCCTGAGTCAACCAGAGCCCAAGGTGCTAGCAGCTCCTTTGCTGCTTTTCTTTCCAGGGGGGTCATGGCCACCCTGAGAGGTAAAACACGTGGCCTGCAAAGAAAGCAGGCTCCCAGCCTCACCCTCTCTGCAGTTCATTCTTGGGCATTTAAAAATGTGGCCAACAGGCCGGGTGCGGTGGCTCACGCCTGTAATCCCAGCACTTTGGGAGGCCGAGTCAGGTGGATCATGAGGTCAGGAGATCGAGGCCATCCTGGCTAACATGGTGAAACCCTGTCTCCACTAAAAATACAAAAAATTAGCCGGGTGTGGTGGCGGGCGCCTGTAGTCCCAGCTACTTGGGAAGCTGAGGCAGGAGAATGGCGTGAACCCAGGAGGCAGAGCTTGCAGTGAGCTGACATCGTGCCACTGCACTCCAGCCTGGGCGACAGAGCGAGACTCCATCTCAAAAAAAAAAAAAAAAAATGTGGCCAACAAGGGGAAGTGGCCGCAGTTGTCATGTGCAGCCAGAGGACGATTCAGTGCGCGTCTGAGTGAGGGGGCAGTGCCTGTCTCACTCAACCCCATCGCTGCTTGGCTTCCAGGAGGCCAGGGTCCTGCTCTCAGCCTTGTGGGAAATCCATGCGCCTCAGCTGGCAAGGCGTGTCCGCTCTCGTCCTTTCCAAGCCACCCTGTGTCGAGTCTCCCTAAGTCTGTGATCTTCTAAAACTACAGTTACCGTCTTGGCCATCCTCATGCACAGCCCTTCAGTGGCTCTCCATTGCAGTAGAGCAGGGATGCACATTTCAGCTTTGGGGCCAACATGAATTGGTTGGCGGGGGCTGCTGGGAGCAGTAGAGAGAGCTTCACACTGAGTTACGTCCATCACTGGGGGACGCAGGGAGCAGCCCCTTGATGGCACCCATTGCTCTCACTGGCCTGGGTCAAAATACACAGCCCCTCCTTTGCTGCCACATCCCTCCACGTAACTTCCCCTCCAATTATGTAACCCTACGGCGTATTCCTGAAAATGTTCTTTACCATGTGATCTGCTTGGCCGATACCTCCTTACCTTTTGGAATGCAATTGCAGGCCCGAGCCTAGGAGCGTGTGGGAACATTCAGAATGAGGTTGTTGGACACTTCAGGCTTGAAAGTAATGATGAAGGTGCTGCTGAGACCATGGCTATTCCACTTCTTCCCTGGGGGCTGTGGACCTCCTTAACCCGAATCACCACCCTTCTACAAGCCATGGCCTCTCTGTGTCTCTGAATAGCTGGAAAGTATTGCATAGAGCAGAGCCCAGCCAGGTACCTGCCAAGAAACAAGGTGAGTCTCTTTTTTCCCACCAGGCCTGGATTCAGTCACCTGACCTAATGGCCTAAGGAGCCTCCCCCCAGCCTGGCCTCCTGGATGCTGGGTATGCACAGACAGCTCAGTGAGGCCACAGGCGCTTCCCCAAGCCTGCAGCCTGTTTGGGGCCACCTTGTATTCTGCCCCCTTTATTCTTTATTCTGCTTCTAAATCTAAACCATGCTGACTCCTTAATAAGTAATTGAATCAGGGTCAGGAGAGAAAGGTACTATCAGTAAGCCTAATTTATTGTTGGGTCAGAAATAATGAATCCTGGAAATGAGGTTATGAGGAAGGCCATTTAGAAACATGAAAAGCTTCAAAGCGCATCTCTTGTTATGTCTCTGCCTGCTTGCCCTTTAGAAAGTTAAAATTTTATGTAAGTGACACTCCACATACCATTTCCTATCTGCTAGACAATAAGGTTTATTAAAGAGAAGTGCTTCCAGCTCCAGGCTCTAAAACAATCCAGCATCTAAAAATAGAAGGAAATGGGAATGCTCCTTTTCAGAGCTCAGTGAGGCTCTTCCGGGCCCCTAAAGTAGCAGGGACACATCATCTCAGTTTGGAGACGTTAGGTTAGGAACTTGAACTCACTTCCACAAGCGATGCTATTTATGTGGGTAGAAGGAAGATAGTGATGCCATATATATTCCCCTAATTCAGGCTTCCTTTTCCAAAATCCTTTCCTGCCATTGAAACGTAGCCCAGTGCTGGGCAGAACACCATGTTTGAAATCGGGGCTATATTTATAACACATTTCAAAGAGATAATGTCTAAATATATAGAGATGTCTTACCAAATCAAGAAGAAAAATGACAATCACCTCCAAGGCAAAACCAACAAAGGACCTAAACAATTTGTTTAATCCAAACAAAAGGCCAATAAGTAAATGAATTTATGATTAACCACACTAATATTCAGGTAAGTTAGCCAATGGCGATGAAGTACCATTTATTTCTATCAAACTGTCAAAGATTGATAAAGACAACTGCTAGGATTTGCGTGGAAAATGGGCACTCCCAGTACTGACAAGAGTGAAATTTGGCAACTTCCATCAAACGCTCTTAAGAAGAGCATCTTCTACTGTGCTCTAGGCAGATTACCAGACAGAGAGGCAGAGACATTTGGTATAAGAATACACATCACAGTACTAATTAGAAAAGTGAAACTCGTATATTCACATAATAAGAGGTTGGTTGTCTAAATTATACTGCTTTTTTTTTTTTTTAAGATAGGGTTTTGCTCTGTCACCCTGGCTGGAGTGCAGTGGCACAATCATAGCTCATTACTGCCTCAACCTCCTAGGTTCAAGCAGTCTTCCCACCTCAGCCTTCCGAGTAGCTGTGACTACAGGCATGCACCACCACACCTGCCAAATTTTTTGTAGAGATGGGGTCTCGCTGTGTTGCCCAGGCTAGTCTCGAACTCCTGAGCTCAAGCGATCCTCCAGCCTTGGCCTCCCAAAGTGCTGGGACTGTAGGTATGAGCCATTGTACATAGCCATAGCACATTTATAACATGGAATATGAGGGAGCCACTTAAAATGAGGTAGTACAATACTCCTTAAACTCTAAAGTGCATACAGGTTGCTGGGGAGCTTGTTAAAATGCTGATTCAGATTTAGCAGGGCTAGGGTGGGGCCTGGGAATCTGCAGGTCCAGCAAGCTCCCGGGTGATGCTGCTGCTTGAGGGAACACTCTTAGAGTAGCCAGGATGGAGAGGAGATGTGCATTTACTGACAAAACACTTGTGTACTATGTGATGTGAAATGGGGGCAAAATCAGGTTATAAAAAAGAGGGCCAACTCTTTTTTATATTTTAAATGTAAAATATACACACACTCTCCCTCATTTTATCTGGACAGATATTTACCAAAATGCAAACAGTATATAGCTCAGCATGGTGGGGATTTATGGTATTTTCCTTTTGCTTATTTGTATTTTCTAATTTTCTCTATAATAAGTGAGTCACCTTTGTGTGCTCTAAAAGGAGTTGAGGCAGAAATCAGCCTTGACTCAGCACTGCTGCAACGGCTGGTGCCCATCCACACAGGCCGTTTTTATCTTGCCTTCATTTCAGTGGAATCTCAGTCGTGGGTCCTTTTCCAAAAACCTTTCTGCATTAGGAAGGGAGGTGGAAATACTTTAAGGACTTATTTCATTTTTCCCGTCACGTAAAAGCTGTGGGTCTGGCTCTTTAAAATACTGCTTAAAATTCTCCCTTAAAAAACAAGGCAATTACTTGCCAATCCCCTGCTGTAGGAAGGAAACCTTGTAATTACCAAGCATCTGTCTCTCAATTCAAAGTCAAGGCCCCACAGCCAGAAGACACTGTGATTCAGCAAACAAGAGGACAAAGTGAGTTATGGGGGGATCTACACTGAAATCCTAAAATAACACGTGCGCGAGACTGAAATTTCAGCCCCAACGCTGGGTGTGAATATATCATATGAGGGGGAAAAAAAAAATACACGCCTCTTCATGTGGCATGCTGGGCTGACTGGCAAAATGAAAGGCAGCAATTTTAACTGTCACCTTCGCTGAAAGCAAAGTTGAGTTCGATGATTAAAAACATATTTACTGAAATACTTCTATAACCAGCCGCCTTGCTACAGCTCCAGGAAAAAGTGAACACAGCAGCTAAGAAGTCAGCAGGCCCTTGACCAACACCAGTATTTCTGGAAACAGCTTTTTAGAGCAATGGGTTAAGCACTACTAAAAGGAGGAAGGGAGGTAGAGAAGGGAACTAATATTTAATTAAGCACCTGAGTGCAGAGAATTTAACACACACAATGCCCATTTTATAGATGAGAAGACTGAGGTAAGAGGCCGCGTGGTGTCGTGAGAGTCAAACACACCTAGTGCTCTTGTTCTGCTCCTTACTGCCTGTGTGGCCTTGAATGGGTTCCTTCTATCCTTTACGTTTTGTTTATTTGTAAAATGTGGATAATAAAATTTACCTCCCCTGCTCCCGCAGGGAACTGAGGGCACCTATGGCTGCTGTCCAGCGCGTGCCCAGTGCTCGGTGGGTGCTCAGCAGGTAGGAAACTGTTAGGAGGGATTGTATCTTGCCCAAGGACACCTCGTTCAGCTTCACATGCCAGGGGCAGAATTTGAACCTGGGTTGGTCTCTCCCCAGAGTCCCTCTACACAGTCTCACCACACTTCTGTACCTGCTGGCCAAGTTTCCACACATACATCCCTCAGATCTCCTCTCCCTTCCCTATTTCCCACCCCATGCAGTCAAAATGTACATTTCACCCAGTGATCCAGAGTCACAACATTGAAAGTACTGGCAAATGTTCCCTCTTTTTACTACTCCTGTTTGTTGTTTTTGTTAACATGACGTTCAGTAGTACTTTTAAATGTAACCTAAATGGTTGAAATATATAGCATCCAATACTTCCCCGGTTGCTCCGACCCTCTTTGCAAAAAGTATTCCCCCAAAGAAATCAGGAATCTTTCCGTCTGTGCAGAAAACCAGCTTGTGTTAAGTTGGAAGGCTTTTCAACTGTGCTTGGACGGACGGGACAAGCACGCTGTTTCTCTGGGTTCCATCACCACTGTTGCTTATCCCCGAAGTCACAGGGGAGGACCGAGCCTGATCTACTGCCTTCACCTGGGCTTCTCTCACCACTGGCTTCATCTCCTCCTCTACTCACCCTGCCCACCCACACAGCTTTGTCCAAAGGCATCAGCACAGTGTGACTTTTGCTGGAACAGGTTTTGTTTGGGAAGCCAGAAATAGAGGCAAAAGCCAGGCAAAGCTCATGGGGCTCAGGCCCCTTCAGAAGCCACTGGCTCCCAGTGCTGTCTCTGCTGCTCTCCAACTTTGAGGAATTGGGAGTCTCTCGAGAGACTGTGGGGTTGGCATGATGGCTCACACCTGTAATCCCAGCACATTGGAAAGCCAAGGGGATGCGGTGGGGTGGGAGGATCGCTTGAGCCAGGAGTTCAAGACCAGCCTGGGCAACATAGTGAGACCCTATCTCTACAAAAAATACAAAAAATTTTAAAATAAGCCAGGCTTGGTGGTGCACCTATAATCCCAGCTATTTAGGAGGCTGTGGTAAGAGGATCGCCTGAGCCCAGGAGTTTGAGGTTGCAGTGATGCGTGTTTGCACCACTGCACTCCAGCCTGGGTGACAGAGTGAGACTCTCTCAAAAATTAAAAAAAAAATGCTGGGCATGGTGGCCTATAATCCCAGCATTTTGGGAAGCTGAGGTGGGTGGATTGCTTGAGCTCGGTAGTTCGAGACCAGCCCTGGCACCATAGTGAGACCCTGTCTCTACAAAAAAAAATTTTTTTAATTAGCTGGGCATGGTGGTGCATGCTTATGGTCCCAGCTACTCTGGAGGCTGAGGTGGGAGGATTGCTCGAGCCTGTGAGGTCAAGGTTACAGTGAGCCGTGGTTGCTCCACTGCACACTGGCCTGGGTGACAGAGCAAGACCTTGTCTCAAATATTTACATACATACACATGTACATACATACATACATAAAACAGAGACAGCGAGATGGCAGGGAAAATAAATAGCGAGATGGCAGAGAACCATTGCCCGGACAGCTGCCCCACCAAATTCTAGTCAGGGAAAGTTTTAAATAGAGAGCCTGCATCCTTACAATGAAGTAGTAACATCTGACATTTAAAGATCCCTCCTTGAACATTCCTCTTCTCCCCCATCCCATAACCTCTTTTCCTAGGACCCATGCCCCCATTCTTTCTGTAACCTCAAGACAGTATATAAGCTTCTGTTACTCATTGAAATGTTGGGTCTTCATTCTGAAGACTCCCACATATATACATTAAATAAATGTGTATGCTTTTTCTCCTATAAAAATCTAAAGATGCCTGAACACCTTGCACGTGTTTTCATAACAGACTCACCTCCTCTCAGGTGACCAACCACCCTAGTTTACCTAGGATTGCCCTGGTTTCAGAGCTGAAAATCCGGGGCCTAAGGAAACCCCTTTGTTCTGTGTAAACCTAAATAGCTGGTCACCCTATATCCAGTGGATCAGTGAGCCAGTTCCCTGAGATCAGGGGTGGCCAGCATACAAAAGCCAGAGCTTCCCTTGCCCATCATCAGTGTGGCCTGTTCAGTGCAGTTCAGGTGCTCACAGTTGGCCGCTACAGGCCTGGCAGTCAACAGCTCTTCTCCTCACATGACTATGGAAAAGTCCCCATGAGTGGACATTCCTGAAATTCCATCATTAGGATGTCATTCCTTTACAGGACTCTTGTGTCCTGTTAAAAATTAAAATACTTCAAAATGCCCAGGTAGAGGAACAAATCATTAGTGAGTGCTTTCATCAACAACCACAGGCGATTCTGCAGCGAGACACTCAGGGCTGTCTCTGAGCATGTCCGCGCTCCATGGTTGCCTGCTGGGCTCCTGCTGGCCTAGGAACTGCAGTAGGCAGTAACCACGTGGGCTGACAGGGAAGAATTGGGCAGGACTAAAGCTTACAGTACTAACGTCCAACAGTAGTCCACAGTAGAAAGTTAAAACTTTGCATGAGAAAGATGTAAAGTCTTTGAGAATCCAGAGGAAGGAAGCAATTTTTTTTAAAGCTGTGAATGACAAAAGTTTCATGAAAAGGGTTGCAGCTGAGCTAGATTTTGCCATCTCTGTGAGAGTGGATGTAGGATGGGAGAGGGACAGGAGTGGGTACTGTAGCCCGAGGGCACAGCATGCAGTGATCCCAGCATGCTGGGGTGAAGGGAAGAAAGGAAATGAGGGGAGGGGTGGCTCACACTCTGTCCCGGATGCCCAGCTGTGGAGTTGCAAGGGAAGAGAACACAGACGGCGGCTCCGGGAACCCTGGGCGTGGAGGGTGGCTGGGACTTGGACTAGGCACAAAAGGGTCCCCTGCTCATGGAACAAGGAATTCAGCCAAGTTAGCAGTAGGGACACTGATAGGACAGAAGAAAGTAGTGGGTGGTTTTCTCATCCCACTGCTAAGTGCCTGGGCCAGCCAGGGAGTCTGCTCAGGCAGGGATGGGGTAAGCCTAGGCTGGCAGAGGGTCCAGCCTCTGATCAGGGTTGGGGTGCACAACTGGTCCACTGCAGCGTGAGACATCCAGTGGCGGCCCCTGGCCAAGATGCTGAGACTGAGAAGTGCAGCTCCATCACGGCAGGCCATCTGGGAAGGAGGCTGCTCCAGAGTGCAGGCAGCAGCAGCGTGTGCATGTTCCCCAGGGACACCCAGAGAGTAGGCTGGTTGCCTGGGATGCCAGTCTGTTGGTGCCAGGATTATACTATACCTGAGTGTGCTCACAACCTGGCAGCGGGACATGCTGAGAAAGGAAGTGCTCTGGGCTTGGAGACAGAACTTGGGTTCAGTGCTGGCTCTAACTTTATAGTCCAGGTAAATTTCGCAACCTTGTTTGGCTTTCAGTTTCCTTATCTATAACATGGGCAAAACAATAGGTATTTCAGAGGTTCACTGGGAGAAGGGCAGAAGTGTGTGTGACAGCAGGTTTATAAACTGTAAGCACTGTGCACGTGGATGGTGTTTGCCTCATTGTCACTCCTCTCTAGGGAGAACACGGCCGCAGACGGCCACCCACTCCTGAGCGGGGCTCCCAGAGCCATCCGTGTCCACAGGGCCTAGCACTCTGACTCTTCCCTTTACCGTTTCTGGGTTGATTCCAGCCATTGCCATCTCTTGGGCCACTTCAGCTGCTCCTGTCTTTATTCCACTTAAGCTTTCTCTTGACTGTTGAGCCTTTTGGTGGACAGAGCCCTGCACAAGCTGTGATTGAGCCCAAGACACAGGGTCTTGAAAGCAGAGATTGATGCACCTGGTTCTTGAGTACAGGTGTGGGTGCTGACCTGTATAGCTTCCCTCTTCACCAGGTGTGCATTTGCTTACAGGGTTTTCTTTGGAAACCCTAAAGCCATAACCTGGGCTTGGCATGGATAGTACCTTGCATCTCCTTTCTCCTTCCTGCAGATGCACAGATTCTTGGCAGCAAGAGTGAGGGGCTGTTGCTTATGTCCACTTGGAGAGCCGGGAGGGGAAGGAGGTGCTGGTTCTGCCCAAGACGGTAGTGGTGGGTGTCAGTTTCCACCACAAGTGACCAGCCTTTAGGGTGAGCACCTGGAAGGAACCCTGCAGGGCCCCACTTAGGTATGCCCTGCCCAGAGGGCCCAGCACAGGGAGGCAGAGCGCCCTGTGGCTGCCAGTGACACTGGTCTGGCATCTGAATTAGTAACTCACAGTAGGATTAATTTCTCTGTGTAATTAAGTAAAGGAAAATGGCATGAAAGTACTGCCTGTCTCTTCCACACAGGGCTTTGTTTTCTATCCTGTGATTACAAGGGAAGTCCATTTGACTTAATTAACTTAGAAAGTATCTAGCAGACCCATTCATCTGGAGCTGGCCTCCTATCTGCCTTTGGACAGATGCATCACAAACTCCTACCAGGTGTGTGACATTTGCTGCACTCTGGGTCTGCAAATGTAAATAGCACACGGCCCCTGCTCTGTGGAATTGCCTAGCCCTGTCCAGCTCTGCACAGTAGATAAACATGAAATCAGTAATTACAATCCAGTATGCTGAGGGTAGTAATGAAGAAATGAGGTGCAGGAGCCAGACTTCCTGGGTTCAAATCCCGCCACTTGGGCAAGTCCCTGAATCTCTGGCTTCAGTTTTCTTCATCTGTAAAATGGGGATGATGATAAGATTTCAGAGGGGAGGATGCAGATTAAATGAGCCAACATGTGTCAGTGCCTAGAAAAGCACCTCGCACTGTAGAGGACATGGTTGGTAACTGTTGGCTCTGTTTATCAAATCAGAGAGGTGGATCGATCACTACGAGGGTGCAGAGGAAGGAGGAACTACCTCTGGGGTGCCAACAGGCTAGTTGAGCTGGGTATTGAAGTAGGAATGAGTGTGTGGAAGATGACCAGTTAACAATGCAAGAGCAAGGAGGCCTGAAGGGCATTGCATGCTGGTGAACATGAGTATTTTAGTACAGCTGAAACTGAAAAGGTACAGAAAGTGGAGGTAGGCATTGAAGAGCCAATGGGGCATTTCAGTGAGGGGTATGGTATGATGAGAATTGTGTTTTTGAAAGTTAATTCTAATAATGATGGAAACAGAGTCTGATTAGCAGGCTACTACAGTCAGCCTGAAGAGATCCTGAGGGGACCTGGTGGAGAGCCGGCATCCTGGAATGGGCAGATGGGACTTGGAGAGAGTAATTTGAACGTGGAGCTTGTGGATGGGATGTGGAAGTGGAGGTGAGGAGCAGGGGTTGAAAGGAGGTCGCCAGGGTTGTGGCATGAATTACTAAGTGAATGGGGTGCTGGTCACAAAGCAGGAGAGCAGGTTGGGCAGGCAGCAGGTGGGTGAGGTTTGGCATGCTGGGCGCAGTCTTTCCTCCCCTAGAGTTGGACATCTAGGGATTGGCTCAGGACAGTGGCTGGACTGGAAGTAAGAATCGGAAGTCATGTGAGTGAGGCCATGGTTGGTTGTGAGGCATCAGATGGGTTCCCTTAGGCTCCCCCTAGTCCTTGGGGTGGCTTTGTTGAACAGAAAAACGTCCCCTCAAGGTGGCTGCAGCTCTGCAGGCTCGTGACTTGGCCATCAGCTCCTTTCACCTTGTACATACATCACCTTGGGACCTCAGGCAATGGCTGCTTTCTTTGGGTTGACTCATCAGTGTCTTTATGAAAGACAGTAATATCAACCCTATTCATAGGGTTATTGAGAAGACTGAAGGACTGAAGGCCTGTGAAAGGGTTTCTTATCTCATCCAGACATTATGGTCTTTGCCCATTTCAGGAAATGTTGGCCATGCTGAGATCTACGGGCTGCAAGGGAAGCTTCCATGCTCAGGGCTGTACTGCAGCTCAGAGAAGAGCTTTTATGGGGGCATTTGTCCTTGCAGGGTTTACAGAGAACAGGCAAGAAGTAGGCGGTGGTTCAAACAGAGGTGGAGAGAGAGGTGGCACCTTCCTTCAGAGAACTACACACAATCAGGAGAAATCCCAGCTCCCATCTCCAAGCTATACTACTGATGTCATTTCTTCCCAGACCCTAAAGGCATGCTCAGGTGCTTGTAGGTGAGCATATATGAACTAGCAATGTGGCTCCAGGTAACTGGGAGATTTCTGAATACAGAGAGAAAAGGGATTGAGTTATGACCTTAGGGGATGGAAGACGGGAGGAGGCTATTTTATCTTTGTACTCAGCATTAACTTGACAGCAAATCCTGTTTATGAAGGAACCACCTGATGACCATTTCATTATAATCCCTGCAATGGCAGTGATTTGATTTCTTTGTGCTGTGTTAGATCCTGTGTCTACCGGAGAGGCCAGGGAAGGTGGGCATAGAAGCAGTCCAATACTAGGTCCCATGTGGTAGCTTAAAATCCTCATCACCACCAGGAGGAACATGAACATTCCCAGAATAACTTCTGCTGCTCTTGATTCCAGAAGTAAAAGTATGTTTGGTATTTGTCTGCTAACGTGTGACATGCTCACCTGCTGAGCTTTCTGTACTTGGACTCAAAGGAGTAGCCAGAAAGGGATCTCAATGAGGAGTGCATGTTTTCTATTTTCAGTCTGTATAAATATCACATTGCTCCTCCTCAGACTCAAATTCAAGCCAGAGTTGCATTCTTATTTGGCCTCACTGGTCTTTAAGAAAGAGCCTGATTACCATGTCTGCACTGGGAGGCACATGCCCAAAATGCTAGCATTGCATCAGACGGCATTCATAATGATGGCCAGTGCTTATCCCAAATGTATGAGCCGGATGCTGCACTGTGCTTTATGCACAGTATTTCATTTTATTCTCACAATGACTCTTTGAGGTGGATACTCTAATCTTTGCCATTTTACAGATGGGGAAATGAAGGCTGTGTGGGATTATGTACCTTGACCAGGGCACCTGTTCGGTAGGTCAGATATGCCTGACTACAGAACTCGAGCTCTCTTCGTGCAAAGTACTCTCGGGGACTCTGCAGGACCTGAGCTGCAGTTGCTCAGCATAGTGCCCGGCCGGGATCTGCAGCCAAGCGATTCATTCACAGGTACAGCTGTCTTAGTAAGGCCCTTCCAGCTCTGGGCAAGAGATCTTTTCATCCATGTGTTATTGGCATCTTCATCATCATCATCACAGCTTCTGCCTTTATGAAGGATTTATCACGTGTTGATGTCAGCATTTCACCTGGATGGCCATTGCTTCTTTGTGCCTATGACAGTCACTGCTCACCTCTCTGATTCTGCAAACCACAGTGGCACACAATGTTGGAATCAGGGTTAAGTCATCTGCAGGACATCTGTCCCTCTCTTCTGTTGGAGGTAAACCACCATTCCTTCTTATCTCAAGGCATTTGCTTCAAGGTAGTCAATCTCAGCACCTTACACTTATGCATTTAGGAGCTCATTCATCTAGGGGCTGTATGCACTTGGAGTTAGGAAGGGCCTTTTTCTGCACCCAGCCAGACTGACCTCTGCTCTGCACCAAAGGCAGGAAGCTCTATGCCCAGAGAAGTGCCCTTTCTCTGTGAGTGGGCCCTTACTTGCTAGCTGACCGTAATTGTAGCTGCTGTTTATTAAGCACTTAGTCAGTGCCTGGCCCTGTGTTAAGCACTTTACAAATGCCATCCCAGGCCTCCTTCTGACAGTCTTGTGAGCAAAGGAGGATTATCCCTTTCTTACAGTAGGAATAGTAGCAATGAAGTTAGGACCTGCTTATTGCCTGGAGAAAGCAATTAGTTTTTTTTAAAGAGCCAGAAAGAACCTTAGACATCCCTAGTCCAACCCCTTTATTCTGTAGAGGAGAAAACTGAGTCACCTGCCTCAGCCCCAGACCTCGGGCACAGCATTCAGGCTCTGACCCTGGAGTTGTGTGTTTGCAGTGATCCTTGGGATAGAATGAACATCCTGAACAATGGTGATAGGAGCGGACCATTCAGTGACAGTGACTGCCCTGGGGGCAGCTCTGCAGAGGGCAGGAACCATCCAACTGAACCATCCAACAAGAAGCCAGAGGCCAGGACCTCAGGCATCTCATGCAGGATACACAGCCAACAAAGGGCCGATTGACACCCAGGCTGTTGGTGCCAGAATCCACTCAGCCACTCTAGCTGGTGTGGGAAGGATCATTCTGAGGTGGTGTTGGATGATAATTCTACTTTCTGTAGAATTCTGGGCTTCCAAGTGTGGAACTCTGGAGCTTGGATACAGCAGGTCAGGCGGGCTCAGTCCAGGACGACAGGACTCCTCTGAGACAGGTGAAACAAGCTCCAGGTTTGATGGGAGGCAGGGAGCAGCCTCCTGCCAGCTTGGAGTCCTCTTCTTAGTGAAGTGTGCTAATAAATTACACAGCACATCAGCTCTCTCAAGTATTCTTGGAACTGTGCCTGCATAGAAAGGAAGGACTCCACGCATCCCACCTTGGACACCCTGTGACTCTGCCCACGCTTGGCTCTCTCTGTTGCTCCCTGTCAAACAAAGAGGCTGTGGGATGACCATGAAAATAACAACAGCAGCAACAGTAGGAATAGCTGCTGTTTCCCAAGCACGTGCTGATATGCGCTCACTCAATCCTTACAGCTCTGCAAGGTAGGCGGACTGAGGCATCTCACACAGGGCACACAACCAACAAAGGCCAGATTGACACCCCGGCTGTTGGTGCCAGAATCCACTCTCAGCTGCTCTAGCTGGTGTGGGAGGGTGGAAGGATTAAAACAAAACAAAACAAAACAAAAAAAACAACTGTAGAAGTGCTCCTGACAGCTGCCAACACTAGTACGTGTCTAGGGGATGGAAGAAAAAAGCTCTCTTCTGTCTGCCAATGACCTCCTGGATATTTTCCTCTTTCCTTGTGAGGTTATTCCATGTACTAAAAAAAAAAAAAAAAAAAAAAAAAAGTCAAATAGGAAGCTCAGATGACCTTGTGTCTTTAAAAAGTCAAAATCTAACCTGACCATCTATTTATTTTGCATATAAGGGATTAGGAAGATGCTGAGTTATTTTCCTTTGTACATCTGAAGCATCCAGTCCAACAGAAATTTCAGCTGCATTCTGGGTTTAGGACCAGCTCACAACTAATTGGAAGATGAGAGTGCAGTGCAGGAGGGGGTGACTTCCTTGTGTGTCTGGCATTTAGCTGCTGTCCCCCCACCGCCCTCCACCAGCAACTCATCTGTATAAACTCCCCTCTAATCAGGGACCTTGCTTGTGTTTTGCCAACAGCTGCTTTTCCTTCCCAGAGACTTGACAGGCCATACCCTGTGTTACAGAGAGAAGCATTTACAGCCAATGGAAAGGACAAACAAGTGTTTGACTACCGTGTTAACATTTGGGGGATTCTTTTATTTTTTTCAGCCTGATTAGACATTCATCTCCTGATTAGAAATTCATCGTTAGAGATCTGTACTGCTTTCAATCTCCGCAAGTGTGGGTGCTTTTGCTTGTCTGCTTTCTTATTCCTCCTTGGAAACTTAGGTCAGGGAAGAGGGAAATTCCAAAGAAGAAAGGGCCTGGCATCCTTTGGAAACGTATGAAGAGATTTCACCCCCTGAGCGGGGCAGTGGGCTGCTTCCAGTTGAGGGCTGCAGGCTCAAGGAGGGCCACGGCCTGGACCCCATGCCTGCTCTCTCCTCATGGGCTCCTGTGGCCTCCTATTTAAGGAATAAGAAGCTTATTTAAGGACTAAATGTTGTTTAAGGAGTATAAGTTGACGCTGAGGCAGATAAGGTGGAATACACAGAATATCAGCCGTGGGAGGGAGAGAAACTTCCTAATCCTGCTCTCTGGTTTTGCAAATGAAACTGGCCCTTTACCTGGAAAAAGGTTAGAAGACTGTTGGGACCTCTAGTGCTTGTTTCTTTAAAATAGCACCTGTTGTTCTTTTTCTACTCATAAAAGCCATATATTTCATGGTATCAATTATTTCCAGAAATTGTATTGAGAAAAGCATAAAGAACAAACTGGAGATCACCTATAATCCTACCACAGGAAGGGGATCATGGCTGATGCTTAGCTTTAGATTCTTCTAGTCATTCTGATTTGCAAGACAAAGTTTTAAGTTTGGATCATACTATTCATATTGCTCTGTAATCTCTGTAAAGGTGTTCTCATGAAATTTTTTATTTTTCCTTTTTGAGATGGAGTCTTACTCTGTTGCCCAGGCTGTAGTGCAGTGGTGTGAACTCCACTCACTGCAACCTCTGCCACCCGGGTTCAAGCAGTTCTCCTGCCTCAGCCTCCTGAGTAGCTGGGATTACAGGCGCCTGCCACCATGCCCAGCTGATTTTTGTATTTTTAGTAGAGACAGGGTTTCACCGTGTTGGTCAGGCTGGTCTCAAACTCCTGACCTCATGATCCACCCACCTCGGCCTCCCAAAGTGCTGGGATTACAGGCATGAGCCACCCTGCCTGGCCAAAAGTTTTTTTATATTCTTAAATATTCCTCAAGAACATTCCTTTTAATGTAGAGAGAGTTCTATATCATGAATATTCCAGACTTTTTTCTATTCATTCTCAATTTGTGGGCATTTCATTTACTGCCCTGTTTTGCTGTTATAAAACTCACTTGTGGCCAGGCGTGGTGGCTCACACCTGTGAGGTTGAGGCAGGAAGATTGCTTGAGTCTGGGAGTTAGAGACCAGCCTGGGCAACATAGTGAGACACCATCTCTACGAAAAATTAAACTAAAAATTAGCCGGGTGTGGTGGTGTGCATCTGTAGTTCCGGCAACTAAGGAGACTGAGGTGGGAGAATTGCTAGAGCCCCGGAGTTTAAGGCTGTAGCGAGCTATGATTGAGCCACTGTATTCCAGCCTGAGTGACACAGCAAGACACTGAATCAAAAAAGAAAAAACCTCACATGTATCGCTGATTGTTTTCTTCAGAATAACTTCAAAAAATATGAACATTTTACAAAGTCATATTTCACCTTAAAAATTTAGTACCTGTTTATATTTCTACAAACACAAAATATGTTTCTTGAGCTCTGAATAACACTGGGAGCTGGTCTTTTAAGCATGCTCAGATGTTTGGGGAGAAACAGTGTCTTCCTGGTTTGCCCTCCCCCACTGAGCATGGCAGCCCCATGGCCCTTGGCACCCTCGTCCCCCTCACCCATGGCAGTTATCGCTCAGCAGTCACAGGCCCCAGGCAGGGATTCAGAACCCTCATCAACAGCATGCGCAGGCAGCTACAGACTATTGGGGCCGACACAAGACCCAAAACCTATTTGCCATCTCTGGATCAGGGATTGACACCTATTGTGTAGTGATGTGCAAAGTCCTGCTGTGCTCATTCCTGAAGAGGTGAGTGTGTGAGGTGCAGGTGACACGGGTTGCACCTGCACAGAGTGGTTTTGGAAACACCCTGAGTGATACTCCTGTGAGCACCTGAGCAAAAGCTGAAATGCACGAATTGTAACCCTACTCACTGGCATTGTCCATACCTAGCGGCCACTCTGTTCTCACCTTACCACTGGAGTGATTTAGGAAGCTGAAGCCTTTGATATTCATGAAGCCTTTATTAAAGTGAAAACTCCTTTGGGAAGGGACCTGAAGGCTTTATCTACTGGTGTTTCATTCTCCGTCAAGATCTTGGCAGAGCTGCAGAGTTAGACTGGGAGGAGGTGATATGTAGAGAGGGGGACGCACCACAGAGGAAGGCTGGGCCAGGGGAGGAGGTGGGAGGAAGAAAGCCACCTGCAGGGCCCTGAAACATCATTGCCCAGCACCTCAGTTGACCACAGCAAGGATCTCTGAAGGGACTCACACATCATTTATTCTGATCATCTTCTGTCCAGGAAATGAGTCCATGGCGCGACGAGGGTGAGTAGAGTAAATAACTTCCATCTCCATCACTGTTTCCCTCATGGAGTCTGTTAGCAGAGAACATCTCTAAGGAGGCTGTGAAATAATTAGGATTTATGTAGAAGTGGGGCAGCCTTTCCCACTGTATCCACATCAGTTGGAGGGTTTCCATTGGAGAGTAGTATTCTGTGTTCTTGGCATTTACGTGGAGGTGCTCTCCAGGAGCAAGCTCTTTATCACATCAGAGAACATTCGTGGGATGATGGCGGGGGGACGTTTATCTTGCATGTTGCTAGGTATGGCTTATAGTGTTCTGCGTCTAACAGCTTTCACTTTTGATGTTTCACTCTAGATTGTTTGTCTTTTTGTATGAAGATCAAGAACGGTTGTGTTATGCTTTGCAACTGACCTGTCTAAGGTGGGATCCCCTTTAACAGGAAGAGAATACAGAAAAATTCACCAGCAACGAAACTGCTCTGTAAACAGGCTCACAGTGCACTCTAACTTGGGTGATTTGATTTGCCGGAAAGTGAAAGCTGAGCTGCAGAGCACCTTGCTTCTTCAATCATAAACACCTTCAGCTTGTTCTTTTCTGGGCTGATGACATTAGAAATGCATTTGCTTTGTGTGTCATGGACAGTTCTCTTGGGGCATCGCCTAAAAGACCTGCTTGCTATCACTTGCACTGTATTGGAACGCTTAGATGATACGGGCCACTGAGTGTTGGTTGGGTAGGGCTTCCTGTCCACGGGAACCTTTTATATTCCCATCCCCTCCTCTTCCATTCCCAACTAGCCTCCTCATCCTCTGGGCTTAGGTAGCTTGCCCACAGGTTTTATTAGCACTTAAGGTACTGCACTGAGGTGGCGAGCTTCCGCGGTAGGGCAGCATCATGCGGGAAGGAATCATGATTCAAACCCAGGCTCTGTCACTCGGTAGATGATGTTGAGTGATTTGTGCAAGCTCTGTGCCTGTTTCCTCACATGTAGAATTTCTCTTGGAAATATGTTATCCTGCATAAATCCCCAGTGGTGTGGCAGCTCCAAATTAAGGTCAGTGTTCCCTTCACTTACCGGACACCTCAAAATTAGTACCTTGTAGAATTAAAGAATCCACCTTGGAGGCTGCCTTCCAGAAGGGATAATCTGACTCTTGTCCAAGTTGAACAGGTTTACTGGGAACAAAACAACTGCCTCTGGGTTTATGCTCGTCTGCTCTTTTAAGCAGTGAAATGCTTGTGTCCAGGAGCCAAGTGGCAGTAACCTTTGTGACTTCAATTCTTCCAAGAATAGGTGTTTCTTAGTAGCCCTGATTGAATTAGAACTCAAGTCCCAGCTGGTTGCCTTCCACTGGCCAGAAACTGGCTCCTGGAACTGGCTCGATGGCCTGGCCCGACTATCTCAAGAAAGCTGCCCCTCCTGCCCAGCAACTGGGTCTCATCCAAGGGCACCTTGTCCCATTGCTGTGTTCCTTTTTGTGAGAACCCCATCCTGAAACTGCATAATTGCAAGCTTAGAAAAAAAATAGAATTGCCATAAGATGGGGCAAAATTAGAATAGCTTTTGGGTTTGAAAGTTAAAACTCATTTTAAGTATGCACAGACAATTGTCTGAGCTGCTTCTCTTGCAAACAGAAGTCTTCGGGAGCTGAGGTGAGTTTAGACAAATAACAATCAGTCTTCCTTTTGAAGTGAGCAGGGACCAGACTGTGCCCCTCTGGAGAGGGTCTATGAGTGCCCCAGTCCTGTCCAGACTCAGAAGAGAAAAGAAGGCCCTGAGGGCACACCAGGAAATGTGATTCAGCCAACCATGTTTTGAGTGCCTACTCCGTCTGTGCCTGAGGGCTTTCATTCTATCTAATACATGGGACCAGATCACAGACGGGCAGCTTCGAGAGGTGAACACCAAAGGGGCTCTTGGCTTTCCGTGCCATTTCCATAGAGTTCTCTTTCAGCTCTTAGCCATGTGCGTTGAGGCTGTGAGGGCATTGGAACAGCACAGTCTCCCAGTAAGACCACAGTGTGGTGGTCAAGGGCAGAGACTCCAGAGCTGGACCATCTGGGCTATTTCTAGTTCTACCACTTACTAGTTCTGTGACCTCATTAGAGGCTAAGAGTTAAGGCACATCCCTTAACCTCTCTGACTCAGTTTCCTCTTTGGATAAATGGGTGTTAAGAATAGTGCAGATCTCATAGATTTGTCATCAAAGAATAAGTGAATCAAGTGATGTGCAAAGCAGACAGAACACAAGCCTGCACATAAACACGTACAGCCATATGCATGTTGGTTCTACAAAATAAATACACATGATTTGCTTCTATTTATTGATAAATAGGATGTTTCCCTTGGCAACACTTCTGGAGCTGGGCTCTGGAAGCGTGACCTTGAGAAAGGGGAGGGGACAGTGGGACCTGAAGGGCAGAGTCCCCACGGCTCACGAACCGCAGCGCTGACCTTTCCCTTGTTTCCATGGGGAATGTGAAGAGGATGGTGCCAACAGCCTGGAGGCCACGATGGGACCAGCAGTGTCAGGGCAAGGCAGGTAGCGCCCTGCCCTGTCTTGACTGCAGTGGCTGGAGGGGAACGCAGAGCATCTTTCCTGCTCCCCTGCAGCTCCATCCCCGTCCTTTCCCTCTGGTCTCCTTTTCCGTGTTACGTTCTGCATCTGCAGAGGCTCCCGTCTCTGTCATCAACGTAACTCTCCTTGTGAGATGAGGAAGCTGAGCCCTGTGCCCTTGTCACTTATTTGCCCCTGGGCGGACAGTGGCTGGGGTGCATTATTTCTCTCCTTTCCATCATCGTGATATCTGTGTCTCCATCCTAGCTACCCTTTTCCTTATCTCTTCCTTTTCTCTCATTCTTTCTCTCTCTCATCCTGGCGTGGGTGGGTATGCAGGGAATTCTAGGGATATAATTAGTAGCCAGGGAGAAAGCAACTCCAGCCTGCCTTCATTTTTTCTTGGACCAGTTGTGCCGAGATAGGACCAGCACTGTCTGTCCATGGGATGCCATGAGTACCCCAGGGTTGTGGAAAGGGATCAGGATCCTGCCCATGGACCCTTCCTACTGCCTCTGACCCCAGATATATTGTGACACACACTCTCCCTGTCCCCAGCACACACACAGACACGGAGTAAGCACAGAGGGCCTGATGGGGGAAGAGATGGAGCCAGGTGTGTGGGGTCAATCAGAGCAGGGCTGCGCACCTTTGGCAGGTGACTGGCATGGCTGTTAAAGCAGGTAATGGATTGCACCAGTGATTCCAGCCCTGTGCAGTGTGTTTCTCAGGGTGATGCACCTGCCAGGCAGAGCAAGCTGCCCGGGATGGGGAGGGGTGCCTGTGACCTGGCCCATGCCCCTGGTCATGGAGGGGTGAGCAGAGGGCAAGCAGTCCCCCTGACCCATGAGCCTGTCTTATAGGTGTGGCTCCACGTGGATTTCGTTGATGTCTTCATCATTGTCCTAATGTATAACCTTGACATTGCTTCCAAGGAGCTGCTTCTTAAGCGGGATTCCTGTCCTGGGGTGGAAGTCTTCAGGTCTCTCCTCCACATCCACGTTCTGGGTTCACCTTGTGATGTGACACATACATTTTCATTTGGGTTGGAAAGAGCCAGAACCTTTGGGGCCTTGCAGTCTTCTGGCTTCACCCGAGACTCTCATTCTGTCTGGCCTGTGGCCAAGGCCTTCCAGAGGTCAAGACAGGGCTTGTGCCACTTCCTTTTTGTTCATTTGCTTCTTTGGGCTCCCAATATTTTTTCAGTGCTAAGATAGGGTTACAAAAATGGTAGCACGTTTTTATGTCCAACCAATTCTGTGTATCCCTGAGACTGTGTGTTGAACCTCACTTGTGTATAAGAACAAAGGCCTACATTCCAAGATCTTGGGGATCAAGAGGCCTGGGCCCAGCGCACACCCTACCTCTGCATGTGCATGCTCACTCACATACACACACGTTTCCCCGGCCTCACCAGGGCAGGACCTGCCTGTACTTCAGGCTGCCAGAAGGGTTTCCTCACCCTAGACCTGGCCCAGGCATTACCGACCCTGTCCCTGTGTCTTTTTCTTCTCTCCCTCAGCATTTTCTAGCAAGCACCTTCATGCCTTTGACTTTCTGTGTGTGCTGCAGGGATGCTGCTGACTACGCTCAAGCCCTGAAGAGTCATCATCCCCCTGCGTCATTTCATTTCCCCACTCATTCACTCACTCCGCAAGAGGCGCCCCAGGGGCCAGACACTGTTCTAAGCCCTGAAGATGCAGCCAGGAACAGGACAGACAGTGTGGACCTTACACACACTTTTTCTTTTAACCCCTCCCTAGGGATTCACCATAAATGACAGAATCCCAATCCCTGCTGACTTCCTCTAAAAATTTCATGTTTGCACTTTAGCAGTCAGACTCCTTGGTCCTGCCCTGCCGGGCCGCACACTCTTCCCGGTTGCTTTTTGGGGAGGGGCCACTTGGCCTCAGCAACACACATTTCTAAGAATTTATTTTAGGCATGGAAAAAATCCCAAGTCCATGTATATTTCAGTGGTCAGCTTTCAGCTTTTATCCATCTCCCCAAGCCTTCTCTCTCCTCCACCTTATTCCTCCTCCGCAGCCTCCTCCTCACCACCACCATCTGTGTGGTCAGAACTTGAGCACATCCGTGGAAAATCAGAAGCAACCACAGAGCTAAAAAGACCCAGCCTTCCAGGGAGTATTCATTCCTGCCTATGTGGGGTGTGGTGTGGCGTGGGGAAGAGAACCCCCAGCTCCTTGGTGTCCAGCTTGCAGGACCTTGAGCTCCTTGGTGTGCCAGCTTGCGTGACCTTGAGCAAGTTCTCTTCCCCGAGCCTCTGCATTCACCTGCAGAGCGGGAGTCTGGTAGCCCTGTGCTTGGCTGTTGCGAGAATGAAATTGGACGCGAGAATGCTCTTTGTAGTGGTTGATATGATGAAGAGCCTCCACGGAGTATGCCGGAGTGTTTTTTTCTGTCAAGGACATTGTTGGAGTATAATTCTTGAAGCCTAGATGACGGAGCACCCTTTTTAAATTTTATTATTTTTTAAGAGACAGGGTCTCTGTCACCCAGGCTGGAGTGCAGTGACGCAGTCGTGGTTCACTATAGCCTCAGCCTCCTGGGCTTGAGCAGTCCTCCCACCTCAGCCTCTCGAGTAGCTGGGATTATAGGCGTGTGCCACCACACCAGACTTTTTGTGTGTGTGTAGAGATGGGGTATCACTATCTTGTCCAGGCTGGTCTCAAACTCCTGGGCTTAAGCAACCCTCCAGCCTCGGACTCTCAAAGTGCTGGGATTACAGGCAAGAGCCACTGTGCCCGGCCAGCATCCTTTTTATCACTCAGATTGCTCCCTACATGGCTGGTGACGTGGTCCCTTTCTCCATTGCCTTTCATGGAGGAAGGACTAGGGTGGTCCCTGGAGGGCAGGAGGACGTGTGCCATGGTACATGGTTTGGCACGTTGGGGGCATCGGTGGCCTCAGCTGGGGCCCAGTGAACAAGAGGAGGCAGGCCTGGGGAAGGAGCCTGAAGAAACAGCGGCCCGAGTAGAAGGAAAACTGAAATGGACCCAATTTGATTGCGACTGAAGAGCTACAGAGGGTGTAGCTGGAGCAATAAGCGGGGAGGGAGAAAGCTGAGAAGTCGTGGAAGAAATTAGCAAGTTACCTGGGTGGTCCCTCCCATCTCAGTGGGTCGCTGTGTATGAAATGGGGCCTCTCCTCACCCCCACCTTCCTCCTCGTCAGGTCCCACGGAAGTGGGAAAAACACTTCTGCCGTCCTTTTGGTACCCAAGCAGAGGCTTTAAAAATATGAACTCGTGAGAAGTAGACACAGTGCCTAAATGAAATATAAACTGTGGTGGCTACGGCGGCTGTTTCGTAACAGCCATCTGTACGTCGGCTCCCGGGAAGGGGGACAGAAGCCTGTGATGAGGGATTAGCAATGCTGTCGTGGGTGTGATCAGATACCATTTATGGGGCATTACTAGAAATCAGGCACCATGCAAGCCACCTCATCCCACTTAATCCTCACACCAGCTCTGTGAATTCCACACCATGGCTGTCTTCATTTTACCAACAAGGAGACCAAGGCTGAAAGAGGTACACAGTAACTTGGCCAAGGTCACACATCTCATGAATCCAGGAGTTGGAGCCTGGTCCAGAACCTCAGCTTTGCTGGACAGCAACTAGTTCAGAATAATAATGTGAGGTTTTTGCATAATAATTTGCATTCCTCAAGGTACTTATGATTGTCTTATAATTAGTCTCAGAAGGTAAATAAGGCTGGGTAGATAGGCAAGTTACCAGTGAAAAAACTGAAACCTAGAGACACTGCAGCTTCTCAGAAGTCAGATAGATAGTGGAAAAAAAAACAGGAACAGGATCCAGCCCCACCACCCCCCAGCCCCATCTGCAGGTAATCCATCTCTCATCCCTACAGACAGCACTATGTTTTAGTTTTGTACTAAGGATGAGTGAAATCTATGGTTTGGGTAGCAAAGTATTAATATCTTACTGGATGAGCTTGGTCAAGAGGAGAGCAGATGAGCTTTCTAATGAGCAGCCTGGACTGAAGAGAACCATAGCACACATAGGCATGGCAGGACTCACAAATTGCCATGGATTAGCCCTGTCCCCTCCTGGCCTTTTAGTTTATTGCTGGTAAGGGAATCAAATCACAATGGGGCTTTCTGTTGGCAGGAGTTCATTCATTTGACTGACATTTGACATTACAGGATTCGCCCTGCTGTCATCCCTGTGCTAGGCACAATGTTTGCAACCCTTCCTGTGTTGTTATCTTGCTGTTTACATTGAGTCCCAGATCTGGCTGAAGGGGTAAAAATCCTTTGTTCCATCTGTGTAAACATACATGACCTGATCTCTGCCCACTGACAACATCCAAAGAGTCATTCATCCACATGACATAGAATGTCAAATGCTGCTACTCCACATAGAGGTGGGACCCCCATGGGAGGAGGTACATGTGATGGGGATTTTGACTGGAGGGCCCTCGAGCCGAGCGTGTGGCAGTGTAGTGCTCACCTTGGAGAAGACTCAGCCAGCCTTTATTTTCCGCTGCTCCATGGTTGACTTCGTGCCCTCAGAGATGGTCAAGCCCACCTCTGCCTAGCAGAGCACTCCTGAGAGATGTTTTTAAGTAGGTCATCTGCAGGTGGAAGGCACTTGAGT
Source organism: Homo sapiens (assembly GCF_000001405.40). Taxonomy (NCBI): domain Eukaryota; kingdom Metazoa; phylum Chordata; class Mammalia; order Primates; family Hominidae; genus Homo; species Homo sapiens. Next base: position 230,365,551 of record NC_000001.11, on the reverse strand, counting down.
TGGCCATCACACAGAAATGAAATCTCACGTGTCGTGTTGAGAGTGGCTCTTTTATGTGTACGGGTGCCTTGTATGATAAATGGTTTTGAAGGTTAGCTGCCTTTAAATAGTTGGTACATTGGGCTTTGGGGGCATTGTCACCCCTTTTCTGTCCACCAGCCCTTTGTCATGTGACCTCTAGTCAAGGTTATGGATTTAATATCTATATTAGCCAATTGATTAGCTTTTTTTTTTTTTTTGAGATGGAGTCTCTTTCTGTCGCCCAGGCTGGAGTACAGTGGCATGATCTCAGCTCACTGCAACTTCTGCCTCCTGAGTTCAAGCAATTCTCCAGCCTCAGCCTCCTGAGTAGCTGGGACTACAGGTGCCCGCCACCACGCCTGGCTAATTTTTTGTATTTTTAGTAGAGATGGGGTTTCACCGTGTTAGCCAGGATGGTCTCAATATCCTGACCTCGTGGTCCACCCACCTTGGCCTCCCAAAGTGCTGGGATTACAGGCGTGAGCCACCACACCTGGCCTTTTTTTTTTTTGAGATGGAGTCTCTTTCTGTCGCCCAGGCTGGAGTACAGTGGCATGATCTCAGCTCACTGCAACTTCTGCCTCCCGGGTTCAAGCAATTCTCCAGCCTCAGCCTCCTGAGTAGCTGGGACTACAGGTACACACCACTGCGTCTGGCTAATTTTGTGTTTTTATTGCAGGCAGGGTTTCACCATGTTGGCCAGGCTGGTCTCGAACTCCTGACCTCAGGTGATCCATCCACCTTGGCCTCCCAACGTGCTGGGATTACAGGTGTGAGCCACTGCGCCTGGCCAGCTTTTATTTAAACCTTTAGGGACTATGTGCAACTATTCTATGGTTCATATTTCCTGTGAACAACTTCAGCTCAGATGCTGATTCTAAAGCTATTTTATTTTTATTGCTAACTTCTTTGCCAACCACTGTGTTGCGTTAGCATGAGGAATACCTTCCAAGTGCACAGACACACACGTGCACATGCACGCAGAGTGTACCTTCTCTATTCCTAACAAGAAAGCCCTGCTGCTTGATACATTTATGCGACTGAAGCTATACTTGGGGTTTTCTGGCAGTTTCTGCATGTTTTCTAAGGGCTGTACGGAATGGTTAGCAGCTTCAGATGTCCTTGCTTGGAAGATACCATTTAGGAGGTTAACACTAATCTGAACATAATTTTGGAATATTGGTAGGCATGTAGGTCAGACCTATGCAGAAAGGGGAAGCCTTCACACTCCTCACAGCCATCCAGTGAATTAGGTGTAAGTTATTTCACCTGGCTACCCAGATCGAAGGGTGCCAAACCCAGTGGTGTCCGGAAGTGAGCCAGGACTCAACCCCACGGGCACCTACCCCCACGGGAGTACCCCAATAGAGCTGAGAATCAAGTTTGTTCACTTTGGTCACTTAGTTGTGAACAAAGAGATTGAGCAAGGGAAAAAGTCTTTGAGGCACTCGTGACTGAGTGACTGAATTCTACAGTTGAGACTTGGACCCCAGGTGTTTACTAACTAGACAATAGGCTTGTCCTTCATCTCAGCCACAAGGGGGAAGGAAAAAGGGATGCGAGAGAAATGGTGATTACTTTAGCTGAAGATAAGTACCAGCTGCAGCTGGCATTGAGAAAACAACGAGATTGGCTGTTTCCTACATTGCCCTTTTAGGGAGTGTAACTTTGTGTCTCAAATGATAGGAATATTTTTGTGGTGTTGCAGCACATTCTGGTTATATTTTTGTACCTGTTTGATTTAGCCTGGAGATAAATGATTCCATCCTCTTAAGCCCTTCATTTAAAATATTAATTGATTCTATCTATATCACAAAACGGCTGACAGTTTGCACCAAAAAATATCAGCATATGCAAAATTCCCTTTTCACTGACCCCTGCAAAACCAGTGCTTGAGGCTCTAAAAGGCTGCAGTTTAGAAGGCACATAAAGCCACTTTTTTTTTTTTTGAGATGGAGTCTCGCTCTGTCACCCAGGCTGGAGTGCAGTGGTGCAATCTTGGCTCACTGCAGCCTCCGCCTCCCAGGTTCAAGCACCTCTCCTCCCTTGGCCTTCCGAGTAGCTGGGACTACAGGCGCCCGCCACCACACCCAGCTAATTTTTGTATTTTTAGTAGAGACGGGATTTCACCATATTGGCCAGGCTGGTCTCGAACTCCTGACCTCAGGTGATCTGCCTGCCTCGGCCTCCTAAAGTACTGGGATTACAGGCATGAGCCACCATGCCTGGCCAAAGCCATCCTTTTCTTCCTGATGGGGCAAGGGTGGGGATTAGTCCCACCTGTGGGGCGCTTAGCTGGCCTCCAGATCTGAATGAAGGCAGAGAGCAGGAGCGGCCCCCAGGACCTGCATCGCTAAGGCCCAGAGCTGCCTTCTTGCCTGTGTGTGCGAGGTCATGTGATCTTCTTACCCGCTGTGGGGTGGTGGTTCCCACTTGATCAATAAAGAAACTGAGATGCAGAGAGGTTGTGTGTCCTGAATTCTCAGGCCATCTCTCACCTGGGACTCAGTAGGCCCACCCCCACTTGATTTCCTAGATGGCGTGGGCATCCTCAGGGATGTGACCGAGAGGTGTGCCCACTGTACTTTCACCACTCGTCCCACCCACCCACTCAGGCCTCCCCATATGCACAGGTGTCCCTGGCTGACCTAACCTTGTCACCAGGCATTAGCACAGGGACTGTTGCCATAGAGACCCAATGCTTCCCACTGAACACAGAAAAGATGCTCCTCCCCTTGGGTGGGCCAAGGCCTCTCCCCTCCCCTTTGTCATCCAACGGTCAACAGGTTTAAGAGGTAAACATGCTGTATACGAGGCTCCAAGGACACAGAACACACCAACCCTGACCTCTGCTTTCACACTTTAGCTGGGGTCGGGAGACGGGCCACACAAGCAGACCAAAAACGAGCATGAGTGGCCGATGGGACAGCTGTGAACTGTGCTAAACCCAAGGAGAGGCACCGAGTCAGGGCTGAGATGAAGAAGCTGGCCTGGGGGTCAGGAGGTTCCCCCAGAAGGTGATGCTTCATGAAGCTGGAGCCCCAGGAGGGCTTCCTTCCAGGAGGATCAGGCCTTGAGGCGGGAAAGAGCTTGCCACGGTCCAGGTCTGACACAGGCTTCCCCGGCAAGCCTCCACAACTGTCTGTCATCCAGGCCAGAGGCAGCGACAGCTGTGGATGGAGTCGACGCCTCGGCCGCCCTATAATCCATTCCTCGTGCCCTGCACACCCGTGGGGAAACTCAGTGCAGAGCATGGAGGTGAAGGAGCTGGTAGAGGAAGCTAAATCCCAGCCAGGTCTCACCTGATTTGGGGAACAGCCATCAGATCCTCCCCCACCCTCTCGTGCAGCAGAGTGAGCCTGCTGAAGTTGCAAGAGCATGGTCACGTGGTGCTCACAGCCCTTCACTGGCTTCCCGCGCCCTTGGGCAAGTGTGAGCCCTGTGACAGTGACCAGACCCTCATGCCCCACTGATGCCTCCAGCCCCACCCACTCCCCTTCCTGCTCAGTTGCACTAAATTCAAGGCATTCTGTCTGGCCACAGGACCTTTGCGTGAGATGCTCTCACTGCTGGAAATACCCCGCAACTCCCCACTGGGGCTGATGGCTTTTTACCAGTCACCCTTTTAAGCCCATCTCAGACAAGGCCTCCAGGAAGCCTTCAGGATCCTGCCTACCCTGAGGCCTGGGTTTGGGGCCCTTCTTGTAGGCACAGCTCTCCTCTGAGCCTGGGTCCCAGCTCCTGCTGCCTGCTGCTCTTACTCCCAGTCAGCTCCTGGGGAGGGAATATCAAGTCTTACTCCTTTCGACTTTCAGGATCAAATGTCCATTGAATGAGTGGTTTCCATAATTGCCCTTGTGTTACAATCCCCTTTATAAATGGAACATCTCCTTTTCTAGTCACTGCTGAGAAGAGGGAATCTGTTTCCTCTCTTGGGAACAGGGAGAGAGGGGATCCCTTTGTGGGATTGGGCATTACCAAGCCACTATACATGCTGCCCTGGGTCTGAGGGAGTGGGGAACCCAGGTAGGTGGTGTGATGGGGGCCTTGACATGAATGGCCTGGTGCGGTGGGGGAAGGAAAGGACATGGCAGTATGAGTTTTGTCTGGCAATGCACCATCAGCATGCACAACCCTTCATCCTAGCCCAGACACCGAGGCACACCCAAGCAGCACCTCCTCTTCCTCCTCTAGGTCTCCTCCACCTCCTCCTTCCCAATTCCATTCTGCCTTTGCTTTTTAATTTTTTTTTAAACCCACATAGGTTCTCCCTTCCCCTTCAGAGTTACTGTAGATATGCATTTTCATCCTGCGTTATCCCCCGCAACACATGAGCACTGTGGAGGTGGAGGGAAGTTTTGTGTTTGGAAGAGGGAGGAGGTGATGGGAAGACCATCCCGTGACTTCAGTCGTATGTAGGTACCATGTGTAGGAGAGCCACGTAAAAGGGACAGAAGGGCTGCTGCTAGTAACCACAGCAGGTGCACTCAGGCTGGCCTGGGAGGAAGGCCTCCCCAGCTGTGAGTCACTTAGAGTGGATGCCCTTGGGCTGCGTCCTTCCAATTCTGAGGTCCCATTTCCTCAATTGCCGAATGGGATGATGCCTCACGTAGATGTTGTGAGGATTACATGGGTAATACCTGGGAAGCTCTCATAAACGGATCCGAGTCTTATCTTGGCTGGGGGTGCTGCCCATGCCAGGGCCATATTGTTCAATGGTCCTGTGATTAAGTTGTTGATAAGGACTAACTGTATTAGTCCGTTCTCATGCTGCTATGAAGAAATACCTGAGGGTGGATAATCTATAAAGAAAAGAGGTTTCATTAACTCACAGTTCGCATGGTTTCGAAGACCTCAGGAAACTTACAATCATGGCGGAAGGGGAAGAAAGGCACCTTCTTCACAGAGCAGCAGGAAGGAGAAGTGCAAGCAGGGGAAATGCCAGACAATTATAAAACTGTCAGATCTTGTGAGATTCACTCACTATCACGAGAACAGCATGGGGGACCCGCCCCCATGATACAGTCACCTCCCATGGAGGTCCCTCCCCAACACGTGGGGATTACAATTCAAGATGAGATTTGGGTGGGGACACAGAGCCAGACCATATCACTGACTCCTGAATAGCATTTCTTTCCTTCCTTCCCTCCCTCCCTCCCTCCACAGGTCACAGTGATTCACCTGTGCCAGGACTTCTCAAATCCCAGTAATCCCAGCAACTCAAAGAGGCCTTAGAGAATGCTTGTAAATCAAAACCAAACAGTTAAGAGGGAGCTGGCTGCTTCCCAGTTCCTTCATGAAGCAGCTGGCCCAGGCCAGGGGTTGCATGTGAATTCATTTTGAAATGGCCTGGGGGGCAAAATTACTTTAAACATAACTTTAAGCAGAGAAAATTCCATTCTGCTTCGTCAGCATGATGTAGCAATTAAAATGCTGGTTTTCCTCCTCTTTGAGCACTATCCTTGAATAATTGACGGCTGCACCCACCGGAGGCTGCAAGGCTGTGCTGAAATAAAATGATTTTCATTAGGAGTAGGTGTGGAGCTTCAGGCTACACCTGCGGAATCGGCCCTCATTCATCCTGGCCTCATCGTCATGCCAGCCAGGGCCTCTTCCTCCAAGACCTGTTTGGTGCCCAAAAAATGGTTGGTGAAAGTGATGTATGTGGTGCCACTTTACCCTCCAGGCTACTGTTGCTTCTGTAAAATGCAGATAGTTAGAGTCTTCCTTGGAAAGCCCTCGGCCTGGCTGTCAATGAATTTCTGTTGATGATATCTTGGTAAAAGTTACCAAGCCTCAGGAACCTCCCTTAGGGCCAGGCACCAGGTGAGGTGCATTATTCACATGATCTCATTTATTTCACGCTGCATGACAACCTTTCAAAGTAGGTATTCCTGTGTCCATTTTTACAAGAAAACTAGAGCTAGGAGGGATTAAGAAATTCCTCTAAGACTGTGCAGTTAGCTAGAAGTAAATTTGGGGTGTCAGAGCCCCATCCATCACTCTGATTCTAAAACTTGGGCTGTCTCATACACATTATCTCTCTTAATTTTTCTGCAGAAACTTGTTTTTCAGAAACTGTCTAAATCAGTAATAAAGGAAGGTTGGAGAGAGTGATGATTAAAATCTGAAGAATGAGAACAACTTTTGTTAGCAATCGATACACAGGCCGGGCGCGGTGGCTCACACCTGTAATCCCAGCACTTTGGGAGGCCAAGGCGGGCCAATCTCTTGAGGTCAGAAGTTGGAGACCAGCCTGGGCAGAGATAGGCAAAACCCCGTCTCTACTAAAAATACAAAAATTAGCCAGGCGTGGTGGCGGGCATCTGTAATGCCAGCTACTCAGGAGGCTGAGGCAGGAGAATTGCTTGAACCTGGGAGGTGGAGGTTTCAGTGAGCTGAGATTGCACCAGTGCACTCTAGCCTGGGTGACAGAGACTCCATCTCAAAAAAAAAAAGAAAAGAAAAATCAATATACAGATGCAATAGAAGCAAATTTTGTCTCTTACAAATCTCTACATATAGTTAGTGTATCTTAGGTTACTACATAGAATTGTAAGCCATAGCTCTTTAAAAATATATGTGTGTACACACACAGAGTCATGCTTCACTTAATGACAGAGATACATTCTGAGAAATGCATCATTAGGTAATTTTGTTGTGCAGACATCATGCAGTATACTTATACAAACCTGTATGGCACAGCCTCCTACACACCTAGGCTATACGGCATAGCCTATCGCTCCTAGACTACAAACCTGTGCAGCATGTGACTGTACTGAATACAGTACAATAGGCAAGTGTAGCGTAATGGTAAGTATTTGTGCATCCAAACATATCTAAACATAGAAAAGGTACAGGAAAAATACAGTGTTATAATTACATGGGACCACCATCCTATATGCAGTTCATTGTTGACTGAAACATCTTGTGGGGGGGCGGGGAGGTGTGTGTGTGTGTATTCAAAGGGCTGCATTAGTCAAAAATTGTGAGGTTTTATCCTATATGTGAAATTATATGAATAAGCCCCTTCAGATGTAGTCCCTAGTCACCATAAAGTGACTACATAGGGAACGTTTAATGAAAATTGCTTTTTCCTAGGTGGAATTTTTCAGGCCCCAAGTGATGAAAGCGTTTTACTTACAAAACCGCCTCAACTTACCAGAAAATGAAAGCCAGAAAGCCGTAGCCATGCCCCTGTGTTAGAAACACCACGTGTCTTTGCATCTCCTCCCTCCCCTTATGTGTCTTTTTCTCTTCAGATCAGTATTTACCGAATGTGCCAGATTTGTAAGAATTTGCATTCTACCCCCCATTCCCAGGGAAAGCGTGGGGTCTGCAGGGGAGGGAGGAGCCCTGTGTGATGGCGTGGCGGGAGACAGGAGGGGCTGTGCACTGCTGTCTGGGGGGAGTGTTGGAGTGCCTTTTGTTTTTAAATGTATATACATATATATATAAACATTTATACATCGATGTATTTGTAATATCTGTATTTATTTTTAAATGTATGTATGTGTATATATGTGTGTGTGCCTGTGTATGTATGTATGTATGTGTGTGTATGTATGTGTATATATGCATGTGTATATATATGTATGTATATGCATGCTTTCTTCCTTGTACGGAGAAGTACCCCAGACTGGCAGACAGTGCTTTTAATTTATATGTATAAATATGCACATTTTAATTTTAAAACTTACATGTTGATGTATACATTTATATGATATATATATTTAAACATATACATTTATGTGTGTGTGTACATCTCTAGTTAAGACTCGGCTTGTGCCCCGAGTGTGTGAAACTCCCTAGACCGACACCCTGTGCCACACGGGTTCTGGAGAGCAGGGATTCCACGTGACTGCGCCCCCCGAGGGCTGTCCTCCGGTCTGGTGTGGAGATGCAGGCTGCAGCTTGCACTCCGGGTGTCAGGGCTGTTTGTTCCTGTGGTGTCTGGGAGGAGCTGCGCTCCCACACACACAGCAGGAGAGCTGGCTGTTTTGGAGCAAAGGGGCGTACAAAAGCTATGGGAGCCGGCACTGTCAGGTGGTTGCAGCAGCTTCTGGAAGGTTGGAGGGGAAGGCGGTAGCACTGGAGGCAGCGGGGGCACTCGGCCAGGGACCCAGGGATTGGAAATGCAGCCGTTCTCGTGTCGAGTCAGGGTGTGGCGGCCGTCCTAAGGAACACTCCACCTGTCTTTGGGTTTCAGGTCCCACCCGAAAGATGCCCCCCAGCGCCAGTGCCGTGGACTTCTTCCAGCTCTTTGTCCCAGACAACGTCCTCAAGAACATGGTGGTGCAGACAAACATGTATGCCAAGAAGTTCCAGGAGCGGTTTGGGAGCGACGGAGCCTGGGTGGAGGTGACGCTGACGGAGATGAAGGCGTTCCTGGGCTACATGATCTCCACCAGCATCTCCCACTGCGAGTCCGTCCTCAGCATCTGGAGCGGAGGCTTCTACAGCAACCGCAGCCTCGCCCTCGTCATGAGCCAGGCCCGCTTCGAGAAGATCCTCAAGTACTTCCACGTCGTGGCCTTCCGCTCCAGCCAGACCACGCACGGGCTCTACAAGGTCCAGCCCTTCCTCGACTCCCTGCAGAACAGCTTCGACTCTGCCTTCAGGCCTTCCCAAACCCAGGTGAGGCCCACGCAGGACGTAAGAGCTTGTCCAGGTGTCCTCGCTCTCTCGGCCTAGCCTTGTCTGTTGGCAGGGCTTTGGGGTGTCCTTCCTGCCCTGCCTGCCCTCTGAGTTCACTTCAAGGTCACCTCTGCTATTCTTCCATTCCATTAATCCACATAATCCAAATGAGATCGGAGGGGAGTAATAATAATAGCTCCAGCCTTCAGACAAGTCAGAATTCAGTCTTTTGCTCTGAGAGGCAATCTTCCGCCTCTTTTCTCCCTTTCCTTCCTTATCTTTAATTATACTTTCCAAATGGTGTTTTGCTCAGGCGAATATTAATTTTATTGTCATATTCTCTGAGTGTGGCCTCACCTGTTGGTGACGAAAGGAGGCTAGAAGCCTCCTGGGTGGCAGAGGGAGTGAGCCTGGAATTAGGACCATTCTTCAGATCATCGGGGGTTACTTATGCCCACACAGAGCAGAGCCAGAGCTGTTGGATGAGGGTTTGGCAGAGCTCCAGGCATCTCTGGTCTGATTCCCTAATACCTTCCCCAACCAATTCCAGAAGAAAAGGTTCTGCCTACTCTCAGCTCCCGAGCCCCTTCCTGCCTTCCACTGGTATCCACTTGCACCTGGGACAATGGCACCTGGCCCTGGGGAGATAGAACTCCAGAGTCTTCCTCAAAATTTGCCCGGCTGGTCTAGCAAACCGATGAGATGGCTAATTTCTAGAGATGTCTCTAACCCAAACCAGGAAGTTCTTGGTCCATGTGAGCCCCATTCCCTTTGACTTGGTCTGTGTGGCAACAGAAGTTCAGTTCAATTTTATGTATATATTTAAAGACCCACTGCACATCTCTCTGTCCTGTGCTGCTTCTAAGGCTCTTCTAAATAAACCTCCAATTCTTGTTGCCATTCTCTTGTAGGTCCTCTCTCTAACTCTCTATAGCGTGCCTTCCCCTCACACAGCTGAAAATCACAGGGTTTTTGTGGGGAAGGCAGTGCCCTATTTCGTGTCTGTGGGAGCCTTACATTCTCTCTGGATCGTTCTCCCCACTGTCTGGTGAACATGTCAGGCTCGTTATGATTTCCAAGTGTTTGCAGCGTGCCTTCTGGCCCTTGGAACGCCGCCTTCTTCTCTCTGCCTTGCAAATGCATCCAGTCTCCAGGGCCAGTGTAAGGCCCACAGTCCCGTGTGGATTCCCTGTTATCTGAATTCCCCCCACTATTGATGGGGCAGCCAGATGCCACTGCGCCTCATCCTCCAGTGTGTCATTTACCTTCCTAACAAGAAGTGGAGACTTTCGAGGACATGAGCTCTGCCCTGTAACAGGCCCTGTGGTACCAAGGACGGGCCTGAGCACATTGTCTTTTCTTTCACTAAATACTTGCTTGGTTGAAAATGAAGCAAATGAGAGACGATTGCCTGGATGCAAGGGAAAAATAAACAGCACATTCAGACCATGCTGGGGTCAAACATTTGGAGAGGTGCCGCAGAAGGCTGTGTGCTCGCTGTGCCTAAGTATCTCTCAAGAGGTATCTGCAGTGTAAGTCCAGGGTGAGTGCCTGGCCTCTCTGGCACACTGCAGCGCCTACTAGGAATTCTGAGACTTGTGGGCTCACCTCTCTGCAGCTCCCAGGTACAGGTGTCCTGAGGGGAGGCCCAGCAGCATTGCTGAGCCTGGCTGGGTGGGCAGTGGCTGGACTGCAGGTGGGCAAGTAGGCAGGTGTCCAAGGGAGCAACTCTGCCTCCTTAGCACATGGCTCAGATGGGCAGTACCGGGGTACCAGGAACAGGGAGAGCCTAGAAGGATGATCGTGTTATTCTGCGGCTCACTTGTATTTGCTTCCAGGTGATGAGGCTTGCAGAAGCAGGGCCTGAGATGAGGCTCAATCTGGGGAAGGGCTCTCAGGTCATGTTTGGGGCTTTTTCCCCTTTACTTTTGCCTTCACTTTTCCACCTCTTCCTCCTCTCTCTCCTCCAGCTCATTCTTCTCTCCTTCCATTACTTTGTATTTCATTTTTATTTTACTGTATTTGGGAAATTACATTTTCTTCTTGCTACGTTTTCTACTCGGTGCCCCTACGTGGTAGTGAGGATCCCAGCAGGACACAGATGCTGAGCTCCATCTAGCAGGGCAGCCGAAGAGATGTTGATGCAGGGACTGTTGGCTAGGGGTGTGATCCGGGTTAAGGGAGACCCGAAGGGAGCAGAGAAGGCTGTAGCCCAGGGAGAGGCCTCAGGGCAGGTGGGCAGAGCTTTACCTTGAAGAAGCAGATCTATGGCCACTCCTTGGAGCCTATTTTTATGATGCCATTTCTTTTTTCTTTATTGTCTTATCATTGGTAAAAGTTATATAATCATGTTATCAAAAAATTGAATACATGAAATAAGTTCGAAATAAGTTTAAGGGGCTGATCATAGGTCCCTCCCCTGACTCCCTTGCTCTCTGGCCTCTTGCTGATGACTCCCACTTGGCTGAACAAGCCAGAAACTAGGGGCAGAGAAGCTGGGTGGGGTAATTTATAAGAAGCTGACCTCCAGGCCTCAGCTCAGGGTCTGCAGGGTGGAAAGTGACCCTGGGGGGCAAACAGAGAACACCCAGCACACTCCATCATACAGCCTGGGGCATGTGGCTCCAGGAGAGTCAAAGGGTCTGACTGGTGCCACGCAGCCTGTTGCACCAGCTCCGTGTCAGTAGGTGTAGAGCAAGGTAAGTCAAAGGAGATGAAGTCATAACCACAGAGTACGGTTGGGTGTTTACTATGACCAGAACCTCATGCTTCCTGGGGCTTCCTGTATGTCACCTGTGCCCCTCCATTCCCTGGAGCAGCAGCCTGCCCCATCTGCTGAGGATGCCCCGGGCTTTCCAGTTGGGGTGGGCCTGGCTCTCCCAGGGGCTTGCAGGCCTTGCTGTTCCCTGGGTTGCCAGCATCGGCCCGCCCTGCTCGGCTCCTGCATTTATGCTCTTCTCAGAGACGCATCTGCCACTTAAAGAAGGAAGAGAGTTCTTCTCCTGATGCTTGATTGGAGAAGCTGGAGGCTCTAAAGGAGCCTTGGATTCGCAGCTTTCCGGCTCTGTGAAAATCCCTGTTGGACCCTGGAACATTCAGCTCACAGAGAGGCAATGATTTGCTTGTAAGCCTCAGGGCTTTCTTGGAGGGTCATTGTCTCTGCCTGCAGACACCAGTTGGAACAGTTCTCTTCCCATTGCCCTCATCAGGTGTGTGTGTGGATGGATTAGCTGCAGATTCCCAGGAATCACTCTGCACCCGTCCCTTACACCATCCTTCAGGGCTGCACTCCAAACACACAGCACACTCACCTCACACACTCAGCTCACTCGCACCCTCCAGCCTGCAATCTTGGGAGCCGTTTTATTCCAGCAGCTGTGACCCTTTGGTACGAGTTTGGTCTTAGAGTCTTCAGAGGATTCCCAGAATGTAGCAATGACCAAAGCAGCTGGGGTGTGTGTGTGTGTTTCTACACAAATACAAAATGGGGAGATACTGCATCTCCTCAAAACTGGAGCCAGATTAATTAGAGAAATATTTTCGGGGAGGGATTGTGCAAATCAATAAATGGATGTTTTGTCTTTCCCCTACCATACCTACCACCCTCCACACCTCAAAACGAGCTCATCAAGCACAGGAGGAGGCTCAGGAGATACAGTCATGTAACAGAGAAATGCTGACCCATGTGTAGCCTGGAGGAGAAGCAAGTGGTTTTTCTGGCAGGCAAAGTTTTTGGAGCTTTGGGGAGCATGCTGTTCCGTGCTGCATTTAGTAATGACATATTCATAATTCATTTAATGATGATAGAAAAGGAAAAAGATCATTGAGGGTCAGAAATTCTTGCTGGCCCTTTTGCTTTGATAAGGCATGTGATTAAATATAAATTTGCAACTGATCATATGTTCAATGCAAGTGGAATAGAGGTGCACTTTCTTTCTGAAGAGAATGAGAGAGGGCAATTTTCATTTGCTGTGGCCTCAGAGGACAGAGTAGGATGCACGTCTTCGGCAAGGATCATTGGGCAGGGAAAGGACAGGCAGAGGGCTTTTTTATGCCATCTTTTCCCTTCTCCATCCCCTCCCATTCTCCCACTGTGTGGGGGACTTGTTCATTGCACTTGAATAGTTCCAAATGGGGCTTTGAATGTTTTATGAGCTACAAAGAGCCAGCGAGTGCAAGAAGCCAGGCGTGAGGGCCAGGGGAGACGTTGCAGCTAGGCCAGCCTCCCAGCCTTCCCCTTCACAAGACAGGGGAGACCACATGTGATGTCCCCATGTGTCCATTAGTAGAAAAACTGAGGAGGCAGATATGCACTGCTAAGACTGAACAGTGCAGGGCTGTCACTTTTCGAAAATTGAATGCACGGTAACCTTGCATTCAATTTGCATTCAACCTCAGCCCACCTTCCATTCCTAGAAGAATGGAAGGCAGCTGTCCACATCACACATGGTAAGTATCATCCTCCCTTCTGTCCTTGGAAGACCTTTTTCTGCCATCACCTGGGAGCTTGTTGGGAATGCACAGTCTCAGACCCGGCCTCACAGAATCACAATCCACATTTTAGCAGGATCCTCAGGTGACTGATTTGTTCAAACTTTTTCTGTAAATAGCCAGATGGTAAGTATTTAGACTTTGTATCGGTGTGGTCACTGTTGCGTGTTGTCAGTTCTGATATTGTAGCCCCAAAGCAACCACAGACAATATTTAAATGAGTGAGCATGGCAGTGTTCCAATAAAACTTTATTTACAAAAACAGACGTGGGCCAGACTAGGCAGTAATTTGCTGACCCCGATCTAGGGCATCGTGTAGAGTTCTGGGAATCATTGCCTGCACTCTTCATTTCAGTTCCCTACAGATGCACAATCTAATTCATAATTAAGCTTGAGATAGGATCAGGGAGGGAAGTGTAGCACGTTCCTGAAGTTTATCCTAAAGCCTCCCGAAAGAGCTTTACCTTGAAGAAGCAGATCTGTGGCCACTCCTTGGAGCCTATTTTTATTATGCCATCTCTTTTTTCTTTATTGTCTTATCATTGGGAAAAGTCATATAATCATGTTATCAAAAAGTTGAAATAGATGAAATTAGTTTCAAAATTGCCTTGGGAATCTTGTCAGAAAGGTCATGACAACCTAGAGGAGAACCAGAGGCTGTGTGTTGCAACAGGCCAACAGGGAACTGGGTCATTTGATGAATGATTTATAAAAAGAGGAGGTTCAGCCTGGAAGAAGGAGGTCGTGGGCTGACACGAGGGCTGTCTTGAAAATCCAAAAAAAATAGCATTTTTTTTCTTTGTTTCTCACTGGACAGAAGTCACATCCCTAGGTTTCAGTTAAATATAGGTAAATTGTGGATCAGTGAAAGACTTTTTTAGCAGTTGGAACTTTCCATGAGTGGAAGGGGCTTCCATGAAAAGAAGTGGGTGCCCATCACCAGGCATGTCCAGCCAGAGGACACAGGACCCATGCCAGAGATCCCTCAACCAAGTGAGAGTTGGGACAAGGGACCTTAGGCCAATAATAACAATAATAATAAATTCCATTGATGAAATATCTACTGTGTATCAGGGCCGGTGCTATTTTGCATGTTGAATCCTTTCTTACTGCATCCTTTCTGGAAACAGTAGTATAGATAATGATACCACCCTCCTATAGATAAGAAGGGTCAGGATCAGAGAGGTAAAGTAACTTAGTTAAGGTCACAGAGCTGCTCAAATGCAGAGGCTGAATTTGAGCTCCAATCTGATGAGCCCTCAAGCTCATGCTGCCTTCCGTGAGAGCCTCTGCTTTTTCCCTCCTGGCAGGTGCTACATGAACCCCTGATCGATGAGGATCCTGTATTCATTGCCACGTGCACAGAGCGGGAGCTGCGAAAGAGGAAAAAGCGGAAATTCAGCCTCTGGGTCAGACAATGTTCTTCCACTGGCTTCATCATCCAGGTGAGCCCTGGGCTGAGCCCGGGGAGGGTCGGTGAAGAGGGTCGGGGAAGAAAATCCGGGCGACTTGGGCTCATCTGATACCCAAGAACTTGTTCACATACCCTTTTCACTGTGGGTCCAAGTCCACCCAGATGCTCCTGCGGAGGCCAGGGCTGGGCTGCTCCCTCCTCACCGAGGCAGCGGGTAGCCAGCCCTGGAGAGGCTGCTGCCACCCCTGGCCCCGTTCCCTGCACATTCTTCCTCCAGACTCAAGCCCATCTGGGTAAATGACTCATCAAGGCTCAGGCCGTAGCAATGTTGGCTGGAAGTGTCACCCAAACAGTGGGTCATACGAGGTTTCTACCATCTCCCTGGAGGCTGTCCCTCAAGACTTTTGGACTTGTGGCTTTGAAACTTAAGGCTGTCCCAGAAGGCCTCCCCACTCCCACCAGGTATCTGCCCAACCTTCCTGTTTCCAGGATGCCTTCTTCACAGACCTCCACCAACAGCCTGCTGGTGAAATTATGAATAACCTTCAGCAGGAGCACGTGCCCGAGTCATAGGACCTTGGAGCCAGCATGGCCAACATGGGTGCATGTTTCACAAGAGGTGCCTGAGCTCTGCTTTTTGTGATGATACTCCCAGGAAAAGCATCTGAGGTTGAGCTGCCAGGAGCAGTAGGGTACACAAAGGGAGATGGTGGGGACAGATACACACCAGAATGTGGCTCCTAAGTGACGTCTCCCTGCCTAGTCTAGTTTTTCATGCGTGCTGCGCAGCGACACCTTCTCTCATCAGACAGGCAGGCCAGCCCTGTGGTGACTGCTGACCGCACGCTCACTTGCTGCCCTCGCTTGACCGCATCTCCAGGCCCCAAGGCACAGGGTTTTTGCACTTCCATCTTTCCCTGAACTACAGCAGGATTCGTAGGAAGATTCTGCCGAACATCTCCTCCCCACATCCACTCCAGAACCACAGTGGGGAAAGTGCGCTTGCTCCGGGAAAATGTCTTCCCTCCAAAGCACCATCTCGGCTCCTTCTGCAGGTCTGAGGGACCTTCAGGTTGAGTTGGGGTCAGGATCTCCAGCCAGACTCTGGGGCTCTGCTTGTGCATAGGCATTGTTTGGGGTCTTGCCAGACTGGACCTATCCCAGAGCAGAATTCCCTCACTCCTGGAGGTGCAGCCTCAGCTCCTTGTCCCCTCACATTCTCCAGAGTCCTCTGCCATCTCTATAGTGCCTTTTGTGATGATACTCCCATAGGTACAGGTGCGTCGGGTTCATTTTATGTAAACTTTCCCAAGGGACATTCATTTATTCTTTCAGTAAATATTTATTGAGCACCTGCTACCTGCACACAATTGTGCCAGGCATTGGGATATGCAAACGTGGTCCTGCCATCCTTGAGATCTGCCTAGGTAGCTTTTTTTTTTTTTTTTTTTTTTGAGACGGGGTCTGACTCTGTCACCCAGGCTGAAGTAAAGCAGCATGATCATAGTTTACTTCACCCTCAACTTCCCAGGCTCAAGTGATCTGGTCACCTCAGCCTCTCAAGTAGCTGGGATCATGGACATGTGACACCATTCCTGGCTAATTTATTTTTATTTTCATTTTGGTAGAGATGGAGTCTCACTGTGTTGCCCAGGCTGATCTTGAACTCCTGGGCTCAAGTGATCATCCCGCCTCGGCCTCCCAAAATGCTGAGATTACAGTCAAGAGCCACCATACCGGCCCTGTGTAGCTTTGGAATAAATGTTTACATGCGGATCCTGTGTGCATCTGGCACCACTCCCTTCTCCCTCTACAGTTAGTGAGGAGCTAGAAATCACATCTGTCACCAGGCAAGGCCAAGGCCACAGATCTCTCTCTCTCAGTTCAGATTCGTTCCCAAATTTATAAAATCTGTAAAATCCACATCTATAAGAAGTTTGGGTTGGTACCTTGAAGTTTCCTTTCATTTCTAAAACTCTTGATTCTAGGAGGTTTTGCAGCAGCGTGAAAGTTTGTTTTTAGAAGCCAGAATTGAAGCTGACAACTCCCAGTCAAAAGCAGCGTAGCTTCCACCATTGCCAGGGGCAGCCCTCAAAATGTGCTCAGAGGTGCAGAGCCAAGGAGGCAATTAATTACCCTTCAGTTTCAGGCTGTGCCGTGACAGGACTGGCATGAGAACTTTCTCAGCCCCCGCAGTCCCTCTCTTTGTTCCTAGGTCCAACTGAAGGTGCCTGTGGCAGGCACAGCGCAGGGAAAGGACATCTCTGCCTGTGAGGGGCCAGGAGACGTAGAGGAGCCACATGACCCGGGGACAGTTGTTTTTTTAGAGTCCTGCCCCTTTTCTTGGTTCTCCAGGTGCTAATCTTGGTTTGACAGCTTTTGAAGGTCAGCAGCCTGGGCAAGCACAGCCCTGGGGCAGAATAATACCTTACACCGTCAGAGCTTTCACACTGCAGTTCCCTGATCCTCCCCACAGCCTTGTAAGACATAGAGAGCAGGCCGTGTTGATCCCATTTCTTACATGAGGTGGCTTTGGCTCACAGGGGTTACCTGCCAGACAGCTGGTCAGCACAGAGCTGGCTTCTCCCCTGGGCCTCAACCTGCCTCTTCCCTCGTCCATCCCCAAGGCATAGGCAGCCCCTGCTCTTGCATTTACCTCCCACGTGAACTAGCTGCTCAGTCATTGCTCTGGAATATGGAGTTGTGATCTAGAAATTAAAGATGGGATTAGGTAACCAGTGAGGTCCCTTCTACTGCCAGTGTATGACTCTCTTCTTTGTAAATGTCATATGTAGGGTTCTGTACACAGGACATTTTCTTCATTGTAGTTCCTCAGATGCATTGAGCTCTCCTGAATGACTTAGCGGGGAAGCTCAGTTGCAGCTGACCGTATTAAGGGTCCTCTCCCATTGTGCTGTGCCGCTCGTTAGCGTAGCATCTGCCCCACGCCCTCCTGTTTCTGAGGCTGGCTTTGGCCCGTAGGATGTAGGCAGCTGTGGTATGTGAAAAGATTTGAAGGGGCAAGTGCATACCTCTCCTTTTTTGGCTTCTCTGCCCTGGCCATGAGAAAATGACCAGGATGGATCACCTGGGTCCTGAAAACCTGGGAGCTTAGTAAATGTTTATTATATGGCACATCGATTTTGTAGCTGTTTGAGACCCACTGTAATTGACCCAGGAGCCTATCAGTTAGGTCTGCACAGCTGACCAGGTAACTTTCTTCCAGCCACTATCTACTGTGGACCAAGATAAGGTGTTGAAGGGATGGTGGGGGTCCAGGTGTGTTCCAGGAGAGCCCAAATTATGCATAGACATTGTTGCCCCAGCTTTGTACAAAAAAAATTAGCCAGGCATGGTGGCGCATGCCTGTAATCCCAGATACTTGGGAGGCTGAGGCAGGAGAATTGCTTGAACCTGGGAGGCGGAGGTTGCAGTGAGCCAAGATCGCACCACTGCACTCCAGCCTGGGCAACAAGAGTGAAAATCCATCTCAAAAAAAAAAAAAAAAAAAAGAAAAGAAAATGAAAATGATTGCTGTGCCCCGAGAAAAAGGGAATTCTGCCAGCAGAAGGCCTTTGGGCTTTAGCAGCAGCTTGTCCCTGGGCGCCCAGCCTGCTGGGCTTCTCTGATGTTGGACTTGCCAGCCTCTGTAATTTGCATGAGCCAGTTCCTTAAAATAAATACCTCTGCCTCTTCCTCCCACTCTCCCACTCTCCCATCTTCCATAGATAATTGTGTTTATATACACACACTCGTGCTTCTGTGTCTCGGGAGAATCCTGGCTACTACAGGGGGCTTCCTCTGGCCCACCTGGTTTATTCAGGCCTGTTTGCTTCTCTGATTCTCACTGCTGTTGACCACCTGGGAGTCTGAACTAGAGGGCTGGGGCAATGCTTTCTTCAGTGTTCTTTTCTAGAGCCTAAGAATACTTATTTATTTTTATTTTATTTATTTATTTATTGGTAAGAGTTGGACAGGTCCCTGTTTTCAAGAAGTTTTACAATAAAGAGTTGGGAAGATAAGACCTGCACCAATGCAAATCTAGGCATGGACTGTTTGGTTAACCACACCACCATAGAGTGAGCTTCATGCTTGGCCCCTCAGAACTAGAGATAGAGGGAGCCCTCACTGCCTCTCCAGTAGGAGAGATGGACACGTTAAAAATATTCATCGACATAGCGTGACAAGTGCAATACCGGAGGTGTGTCTGTACGTCGCAGGACTACAGGAAGGCACCTGTAGGGGTAAGAAACACCCCCAGAGTCATATACAGTAGGGTATGTGGTGTGGCAAAGAAGAGAGTAGCCATGAGCTCTTGCCACAGGCCAAGCACCAAGACACCCAATGTTTTAATAGCAGCACTTAAGACAAAAGTAGGCAGGCAGGGAATTATTTATAAGGTAGGGCTCAGGAAATCTTGCGATATGCTTGCTCCTTAGGTGCAGAATGCTGGGTATAGATGAGGCCACAGCCAATGCCTTCTTATTTGGCTTTCCCACTGCTATTTACCCAGGCTGGTCGGGTTCCACTGCTAGTTACCCACTGCTAGATACGATGGTGCACTTAAGACAGCATGCAGAAGCTCCTCGACTTATAATGGGGTTACGTCCCTGTGATAAACCCCTAGTAAATTGAAAATACCTTGTCAGGTTAAGCACAGTGGCTCACACCTGTAATCCCAGCACTTTGGGAGGCCAAGGTAGGCAGATCACTTGAGCCCAGGAATTCAAGACCAGCCTGGGCAACATGGCAAAACCCTGTCTCCACAAAAAATATGAAATAGCTGAGTGTGGTCGCACACATCTGTAGACCCAGCTACTTGGGTGGCTGAGGCGGGAAGGTTCCCTTGAGCCTGGGAGATCAAGGCTACAGTCAGCCAAGATTGCACCACTTCACTCCAGCCTGGGTGTCAGAGCGAGACCCTGTCTCAAAAAAAAAGAAAATATCTTAAGTCAAAAATGCATTTAAAGCTGGGTGCAGTGGCGAGTTCCTGTAGTACCAGCAATGTGGGAGGCTGAGGACGGAGACCACTTGAGTCCAGGAGTTTGAGACCAGCCTGTACAACATAGTGAGACCCTGCCTCTAAAAAAAATGCATTTAATACACCTAACCTACCAAAGAGCATAGTTTAGCCTAGTTTACTTTAAACATGCCTGGAACACTTACATTAGCCTGCAGCTGGGCAAAATTAACACAAAGCCTCTTTTATAATAAAGTGTTGAATATTTCATGGTTGTTTACCCTCGTGATCGCCTGGCTGACTGGGAGCTGCAGCTCACTGCCACCACCCAGCATTGCACAGCATATCACTAGCCAAGGAAAAGGTCAACATTTGAAGAAATTTCTACTGAATGCCTGTTGCTTTCACATGATCATGAAGTCAAAAATCATAAGTCAAACCAGTGTAAATTGGAGACTGTCTGTATTTATTCTGTGTCACAGGCCTGCTAAGGACTAACCTAGACCCCAGAATACCCTCCAGCCCTACCCTGTTTGCAGAGGGCTTGTGAGCATGGGAGCTAGCCAGGTTTCCCCTCCTCTCCCCTCATCTGCAGGCTCCCCTGTGAGCCAAGGAGGAGAAAAAGGAGAGATTTATACAGATGATGACTCTTCCAGTGTAGGGGAAAGCCACCTAATTGAGCGATTGGAGTTCCTCAATCCAAGACGCTGAGGCTGCTCATCCTGGAAGCCTGTGCCCTCTATGTGGGTGGAAAGAAAACTCTGAAGCAGTTCTCTGCAGAGATTGCTGTTCAGGCTCCACAATGTCAAAAAGATCGAGGCTCCAGCGGGAAAAATTGGCCAACAGGTTAATGTTCATCGACCTTTAGTGATTAATGGAACCCCAAGATTCTTTGGAGGAGAAAAAAAAGGTCCACTAATTTTTTTGAATGGTATAGTCTAAAAGAGCAGATTTCTCCTGTTTGAACACGTTGGGCCAGGCACCTGCCTCTGCAGCATGAGACCAACGTTCCCAGCAAGGGATGTTGACAGATGGATGAACACTGAGGAGGGGCTGAGGAGCAGATGCCTGGGAGGTGTCCTGAGTGGCATCCTGAGTGGGGCTTGGAGAGACATAGGGAGGTGTCATCTAAAGAAGACAGGACAGACCGTCTTCAGAGGGCTGGGTGGCTGTCATGTCAAGGAGGCAATTCTGGATGACAGCCCTGCTCAGTGGAGGCAGGGCTTCAGGTTCACGCTGGGCATTGACATACTCCGGAAGTAGATGGGCATTAGAAGCCAGAATTCAAGATGGTAACCCCCAAGCAAAAGAACCCGTGCTTCCTACCCCCTGCACACATCATGGAATCTGTCCAGGCAGAGCCCTCATGACATCTGTGAGGGACACTCTGAATGAGGTCCGTGTGCCCTGTGCTGCTAAGCTAGCTGACCTGGAAGCCCCTTCCCTCCCTCAGTCTCATCTGTGGATTCTGGCAGCTGCTTCTGGCGTTCAGGAAAGAATGACGAACACTTACAGAGTGTGTGTTGTGGGCCAGGCTCTGTGCTTAAGCACTTCACATGCAGGATTCATTTTTTCTCCACAAGGGCCTTAAGAGGCAAGTAATGTCACCGCCACTGTTTCTTGGTAAGGAAACTGAGGCACAGAGAGATTTGCTGCCTTGCCTAAAATTAGATCTACAAAGCAGTAGACCTGGGATTAAACCCAGCCATTCTGACTCTAGATCTCACCTTCTTTTTTTTTTTTGGAGACGGAGTCTCCCTCTGTTGCCCAGGCTGGAGTGTAGTGGCGTGATCTCGGCTCACTGCAAGCTCCACCTCCTGGGTTCACACCATTCTCCTGCCTCAGCCTCCCGAGTAGCTGGGACTACAGGTGCCCGCCACCACGCCCGGCTAAATTTTTGTATTTTTAGTAGAGAAGGGGTTTCACTGTGTTAGCCAGGATGGTCTGCATCTCCTGACCTCGTGGTCTGCCCGCCTCGGCCTCTCAAAGTGCTGGGATTACAGGTGTGAGCCACTGTGCCCAGCCTGGATCCCACCTTCTTAACCACTAGGCTATGTTGACTCCTCCAAGGAGAGAACTTTTCCCGATTTAGACAAAAAGCCAAGTATCTTTTATCCAGCTTGATTGTTGGTAGGACAGTGGTCTAGCATCCACGTCACTAATTTCCCTTATTTTGAGACATACTATTTATGTTGAAAGAATTTAAAGAAGGTGCACTAAAGTGTTTTTTTCCTTATTTGACTCAGTCTTTTTACATACTAAGTGAAATATTTTGCTCTTGACCTATAACTAATTGAATTGGCTCTAAAAGTGAGGACCACTATGGAATTAATTGGCTGGAGTGAATTTTGCTTGTGGATTCAGAAGCTGGGCAGGGCAGGACATGTGTCCAGCTGTTTAATCGTGCAGTGAGGAGGATGCTGGCATGAGATCCTGTCCAGGTTGGACACGGTAAGTTGAGGATGGGATTGGCTGAGGCAGAAGACATAACCGTGGACCTCTTTGTGTCCTTGAGCAAGTAGCTGAGAACTACCTTCTTTCTCCACTTTTGAATGAAGTTAATCCACCCACACCTCTTTACCGTATAGGACTTCAAAGATGACAATAAAGTATTTATTAAGTGCCCAGGTAAGTGCACCAGCTACTGTGTGGATCAGATTCAACCCTCTCCCTAAAGAACTTCGACTCTTCAACTGCACAGACATGAGTGTGTACAGAGAGCCCACATGCTGATACATGTCCCTCCTCCAACCTGTCATTTTGAAAGAACCACCTCAGGCTTTGAGCTTTGGGATGAGATGAAGGCAAGGCTCCCACAGGGGTCAGCGGTGCTGAAGGTGCAGCCAGAGAGGAGAAGGACCAAGAACAGACTCAGCACATGAGCTCTTCCTGGGCATGGTCATGGTGAGAGGCCTGAGAGAGAAACTGGGCAATGAGAGATGAAAGTCATCAGTATGGTGATGGCTTAGAGACTTTGCTAGAAGCCCCAGCTAATACACAAAGATGACACAAGCAGCATTGTCCAGCAGGACTCTCTGCAATGATGGAAATGTTTCATATCTGCTCTCCATGATGGCAGTTCCTAGCCTCATGTGACTGTTGACTATTTGCATTGTGACCAGTGTGGCTGCGGGCCTGAATTTTTCATTTTAGTTAATTTAAATGTAAATGAAAACAGCCATATGTGGCTGAAGGCAACCACATTGGGAGCACAGTTACAGAGCTTTGCTATATTAAAAAATCACTTCTATGTGCACAATTTTCACTTAAAGACAAGGGCCTTGCAAGGTGCATATGGCAACGTTATCCTTACAGATAAGGAAAGCAAGGCTCAGAGCAATTAAGTAACTTGCCCCCAAACCCACAAGCCAGTGAATGACAGAGCCCGTGCCCATGTATCCTGGCACTCACCCTCCCTGCCTCAGTTCCTCTCATGACAAGTGACTGTCAT
The DNA here is from genome assembly GCF_000001405.40 of Homo sapiens. NCBI lineage: Eukaryota > Metazoa > Chordata > Mammalia > Primates > Hominidae > Homo > Homo sapiens. Next base: position 230,342,577 of record NC_000001.11, on the reverse strand, counting down.
TTACAATTCACAACTCTCTCAAGTGGCTGTCCCATGCAGATGTCCCAGGTGACAGCCGCACACACCCCGTGATCTCATTCTGCGTCTTCAGTGAGTGCAGATCGTGCACTGCTGTGCTGTTTCCACAGCTGAATTACTTTCACCTTCATAGCTCCTTGCACACTAGAGATAAGACTCAAGCAAAGGATCACCAGTCCCTACGATGTGATACCCTTCCCCCAAATATGCTCTTCACTGAGAAAATTGATTCTCTTCTGTGCTGAAAAAGAAGTAGGGTCATTCATTGGTCAAGACCAGTATAGCTGAACTGGGCTTTCTCCAGTTCTTTGTGTTAGAGAGGCAGGAGGGTGCCCGGATCCCAGCAACAGCTTAGTGGAACTATCAGCTGGTGAGTCAGCAGCTACTGCCACTAGCCTTACTGTTCTTTTGAGAAGTTGAGGGAAAAGATGAACTAGATCCTGTCTCTGGAGGTCGTGGGGGCATTTCAGGAGAGCTAAGATAAATCCCATGTGCTGTATGTGTCCCCCAGGGTATTAACTGCTATAATCCATAATTCCTAAGATCCTTTTTGTTGTAATGTCAGTATAAAATATGCAACATTAGGAATAATACCCTGGGGCAAAGTATAATGCCATATAGTAATAAACTTGCATGCCTACTTTCTTAAATATATATATATTTAAAAATCATAGGAGCAAAAAAACTTTTTAGGAAAAGTGAAAAGCTTGGCAACCACCAAATGGTACATTTTCCTGCTCTAGAGATACTTGTCAAGCAGTCTTGTAGCTCAGAAGTGTCTATAACTGGCTGCATTTTGCCCAGTGATAGGAAGTCACCTATGTCTACACACGTTGGTGGAACCATATTAGTATGATAGTGCTTTCTCTAGATATGTCTAGGGAGATATCTGACTTTTTGAAAAGCAGACCAGGAAGTAGTCACACATCTAAGTGAATGGTATTTCCTTCCGTGTCGTGTCTGGGGAGCTCTTGTAGAAAGTACCCAACCCAGTGTCTGAATACATGTGTGGGTTCCCAGTGATTCTGCTGTTTCTCAGATTACTGGCAGGATTCCTTAGGATTGTCTTTTAAACCTGGACGAGATCATTAGCATAGCTTGTATAGCTTAAGCATTTGTAGCAACAGAGCATGGATAGGATAAGACTTCACTGGAGGTTGCTCATCCAGCTAAGGGAAACAAGTTACTACCTTTGACCACTGACGTTATTCTGTCAAAGCAAACCAGGACCAGTCAGGTACCGGACCTGCCTGGCCATCAGACCAAGCAGTACCTCTTAGACTGGGCCTTTTCCTGGCCAGATTTTGACTGCCTTGCCAACAGTTTTTCCTAAATCATGCCCTCAACTGAGACTTTCAAGGTTACCTCTTTTTTGTATTTATTTAAATGAAGGTCCTATTTTATATTCACTTTTAGAAACTCATTATTTTATAGCAATGAGTGCCACACATTTGGGACTCTCTTTGGACTCTCATTGGTGCCACTTCTTGGCTGCATCCTTCTTCCAGATTTCCTAATAAGAAATCTTTGACCTTCGGCTCAGTGCCTGTCTCCTCTGGCTCAGTGCCTTTAGCTCAGTGCCTGTCCCCTTCTCCTGTGACATCCCAGTTGAGCGTCCACTTCTTCAGAAGAGGCTGGCTGGAGTCTGGAAAAATGGCAGTTTTCAGAGGTGCATGTGTGGACACGAGGCTGAGTAATTTCAAGGCAGTCCTGCGGCAGGACTGCCTTCCGTATTCTACCCAGGGATTGTAAAATCTCAGCTGCACATCACTGGCTTTTGGGAAAATGTGTTAATTCCAAGACAGCAAGAGGCTACCCTGATTCTCAGAGTCATCGTCATCTCCAGGCATGGAGATGATGAATAACCGTTCACTCAGACCCAAAGATACTGCAAATTCCAAATAGTCTTATGCTTGGGTAATCCTGATAAGGAAGTTATTTTATAATTATTTTTAGTGGGTTGTTTTCTGATTAAGTTGTATTACATATTTAGCATCAAAAACATTAAAAGCCCAGCATATCTGTCATTCTGATAAATACTTTTTATACAGAAATAGCCGCTTGAGTGTATAGTCAACATATATTTATAAACACACACATATACACACACTTGCACTGTTTTATAATCTGGCTACTTACAAGGATATTGTGAACATTTTCTATGTTATTAAACACTTTTTCTACATGATGATTTTTTAAAGTATATCACATTCCATTATACCTACATATATAATTTTAACCAGTCTGCTCTTCATGTAAGGTAGTTAGGTCATTGTTAATTTTTTTACCATTATAAAAAACCCTGAAATGGACATGGTATTTTATATATAAATCCTTTTAACACATTTCTGATTGTTACCTTGGATTGAATTCCTAAAAGTGAAACTCATGAGTAAAATAGCATGAATATTTTTAAGGTTTTTACAAAATTTATTTTTTAATTGACAAATAAAAATAGTATATTTTTATTGTGTACAACATATTTTGAAATATGTAGACACTGAAATGGCCAAATCGAGCCAACTGACATATGCATTACATCACATAGTTATCATTTTTTGTGGTGAGAACACTTAAAATCGACCGTCTTGGCAATTTCCAAGAATATATTGTTATTAACTTTAGTCACCATGTGGTACCATAGATCTCTTGAACTTATTCCTCCTATCTAACAGATTTTGAATTCTTTGACCAATACCTCCCCACTCCCACTTCCATCCCCCAGCCCCGTAACCACCATTCCACTCTCTCCTATTAGTTCAACTTGAAGTTCACATGCAAGTGGGATCATACAGTGTTTCTCTTCCTGTGCTCGGCTTATTTCACTTCGCTTAATGTCCTCCAGGTCCATGTTGTTGCAGATGGCAAGACTTCCTCCTTTTTAAAGGCTGAATAGTATTTCATCTTGTGTATATGCCACATTTCCTTTATCCACTTATCCACTGATGGACACTTGTGTTTCCATATCTTGGCGATTGTGAATAATGCAGCAGTGAACGTGGGAGTGCAGGTATCTCTTAGAGATCCTGATTTCAGTTCCTTTGGGTGTGTACTCAGAAGTAAGATTACTGGATCCTATGGTTGTTCTATTTTTAATTTTTTTGAGGAACTTCCATACTGTTTGCCGTAACAGCCATACTTTAAGGTCTTTGATTCATGGGCAAAATTTCCCTCCGGAAAGTTTATGCGTATTTATACCAAATCAGCACAGTGCTCATTTCCCTACATCCTCACTGACACTGAGTGTTTGGACGGGGAAGGTGTTGTTCACTGTTGGTCTTCAGGAAAGTACATTGAATCAGTCTGTTTCCCAGGGAATAAAACTGACGTCATCTTCACTCCGCTGGTTTAAAAAAGGTGGGGAAGCATTAAATAAAGTGGGGAAGCACTCCATTTCTCAGCTATCACGTTGCAGTTCTTCAGATGCATAGAAGTGCCTGGTGTGGAAGCAGTGTGCCCCAATGTGTGTTAGAACTCAAAGATACAGGCTTCCTGCCCCTGGTGTGCACACACTTCCCCGTTATTCGCTCAAACAGTAATGTGGGTGTTGATGAGAAGGAATTTGGATTTTGCAAATGTATTATGGTCCTAAATCTGTTAAAGAGAACTTATCTCGCATGGGCCCAACCTACCCAAGTAAAGCCCTAGAAAAGGAACCGGGCTCTTCCTGACAGAAAGCACAAGAGGGACGCAGCTTCAAGAAGAGGCCCCATTGCGGGCTTTTTTTTCTTTTCTTTTCTTATTTATTTATTTATTTTTGAGATGGAATTTCGCTCTTGTCGCCTAGGCTGGAGTGCAATGGCACGATCTCAGCTCACTGCAACCTCCACCTCCTGGGTTCAAGCGATTCTCCTGCCTCAGCCTCCCAAGTAGCTGGGATTACAGGCATCTGCCACCACACCTGGCTACTTTTTTGCATTTTTAATAGAGACGGGGTTTCACCATGTTGGTCAGGCTGGTCTCGAACTCCTGACCTCAGGTAATCACTCACCTCAGCCTCCCAAAGTGCTGGGATTACAGGCGTGAGCCACCGTGCCTGGCCAATCATTGCCGGCTTTCACAATGGAAGAGGTCATGTGGCAAGGACTACATGTTGCCCCCAGGAGCTGAACGCAGTCCCTGGCTGACAGCCAGCAGGGACACAGGACCTCAGTCCTGCAGCCGTAAGGAAACAACGGGAATGCAGATCCCAAGCACCAGATGAGAACCCACCAGTCAACATTTTGATTGCAGCCTTGTGCTGCCCTAAGCAGAAAAGCCAGCCGTGCCCTGCTCAGACCTCCAGCCTACAGAACTATGAGCTCATAAACGGATGCTGTTGAAGCCACTGAATTTGTGGTCATTTGTGCTGCAGCAATTTAAAAAACATAATACACAGCATTTAAAAATTTGAGTGTAGATGTCTGCATAGAAACCACAGGCAACATGCGAGCTGCATGTGTTAATGTAGAAATAATCTGTGGCAGGCTCAGATCTATGAACTTCTCTAGCAGTTCTGGTTTGCAGTGACTTACCGTCGTCCAACACCACATTTTGTGTTGTGTTTTGTTTGTTTAAGATATTTTCGCTAAGTCACATTTCTTGCACCTGTACTGGAGGCAGTTGATTTTTTTGAACATGCTCTTCTTCAATCCATTAACTTTCCTGCCTCTACCCCTTTGGTGATGTTCATGGAAGCAGCATGAAACGACGTTTAAAAATTGCTGACTGAGTCCCCACACATCCTCTTTGTTGGCCCTGGACTCTTGGGCAAATGTTTAGCCCTCAGTCCTGTCTCCTCTGCACCGTGAGGGGAATCATACCTCTTCTGCCTGCCTGATGGGGGTTACTATAAAGAACAAATTAAACAGTCATTATGAACATACCTTGTAAATTAAGAAGCTGTATTCAAATGGAAAGTACACAGATAATGTGTATTCCTAACAGGTGAGGTTGCCTTTAATTTTATTTATAGTGAATTTAAATCATTCCTGTGTTTGAAAGCCGGGGAATGTATTTGCACCATCCCATTACCCATGGCTGCTTGTTCCTTTCCTCCTCTGCCTTGACCTTTCCAAACTGAAGCATCTGGGGCTGAGTCACCAATCGCCAAGGCCACGGGGTGTGCTTGGGGGTGACCTAGAGTCCCTGTGAGCTGAAAAGATGATGGGGGCTTTTCCATGGGCTCCCAACTGGATGACTGAGACCCATGAGATCTGTGCTTGCTGAATACTCGGGCTCCCAGCCTGACACTGCTGTGAGCACGCTAACCTCTGTGTGTTTCTGTTAAAGATTTATGTCCACCTGAAGGAAGGTGGGGGCCCAGATGGCCTGGATGCGCTGAAGAATAAGCCCCAGCTCCACAGCATGGTGGCCAGGAGCCTGTGCCGGAACGCGGCAGGCAAGAACTACATCATTTTCACGGGGCCCAGCATCACCAGCCTGACGCTGTTTGAAGAGTTTGAGAAGCAAGGTTAGTCAAGTGGGGAGCCAGTGAGGATACGGCCCAGCCTCCCCTGGGAAAGTGGTGGGAGAGGTCCAGGTGGGGGTGCAGATACGTGGTGGCCACCACAAACCACAGGATGCCAGGTGATGAGGCCCTTCCTTGAGGGAACAGATGCGTCTCAGCCACCCTGTGTGCTGGATCCCGCTGGGCACTAGAGATTGCAAGGTGTGTGAGCCACGGGCTCAAGGTCTAGAGGACATGTCGGCGCAAAGCTCTGCCTGGCCTTCGGGGCATTTGTGTGTCCCCTGTTGGAAATCTGTAGCCATGAAAAGCCTGCGTCCCCTGGACACAGCTTCTAGTAAGGCTCTAGGAAGTCTCTGGAACTCACCCATCATCTATAATGTGGCCCCTTCCCAGGAGACAGGCAAGAATTGTGTGAAGACAGGGAACAACAGTACAATGAGCCTCAGAAAAGCCTTAGGTACTCCGGGTGCTCAGGTGTTTGGTGCATGCATGGCAAAGACTGGGCAAGCCTTCTATGGCTTTGGAAGAAATAGGGGCTATAGAAAAAGAAGATCTGGACCAGTTCAGGGAGCCCTGTGGCAAGCTGCCCTGGCCTTTGCTTTGTCCTGGCTTTGGGGATTTAGATCTGGTCCACTCAGAAGCAGCACAAAAAGTGCCTGCTCCCCTGCAGCAGCCACTAGACTAGAATTGCAGACCGTTTGCTCAGCAGCAGTCAGACATCTGGCCTTAAAACTAGACCCTCTTAAGTAATGAGGTGTAGACAGCTGACATCCTGGAGCCCTGGCAGCTGCAGTGAGGCCGCAGCCCTGGACTTCACTTTTTGCTGGCCTCAGCTGCATCTTACTCATCTTCAAAGCCCAGGGCTTAATAGTTATTTGTTGGAAGAATCAAGGGTAGAGAGATTCGACGACATGAAGTGGGGCTGTGAAAGTAAAGCAAGAGAAAATTGGCCCTGAAGCACAGTACCCAGCTGCTTTGGAAGAATGGGGGGTTCTCTGTTCGAGCACAGGGTGAGAACCGGGACTGCCATCTCTCCTGCCCACTCGTACAAGGCCGAGCGTGGGTACTGCGAGTGTGATGTTTATGTGTGTTCCAGGGCCTGTTCCCTGCCTCACACCATCAACCTGGACTGAAAGTAGAAGGGGTGTATGTGTGTCTCTGTGTCTTTGTGTGTCTGTGTGTGTCTGTGTCTGTGTCTTTGTGTCTGTATGTCCGTGTATGCATCTGTGTGTCCGTGTATGCATCTGTGTGTGTATCTGTGTGTCTGTGTGTGTATGTGTATGTCTGTGTCAGTGTATGTGTCTGTGTGTCTTTGTGCCTGTGTGTGTGTGTGTGTCTGTCTGTATCTGTGTATCTGTGTGTGTCTTTGTGTAAGTCTGTGTGTGTCTGTATGTGTACCTGTGTATGTATGTGTATGTGTCTGTGTGTCTGTATCTGTGTATCTGTGTGTGTCTGTTTGTGCGTCTGTGTTTGTGTCTGTGTGTGTACCTGTGTGTGTGTCTGTGTCTGTATGTGTATCTGTGTGTGTCTGTATATCTGTGTGTGTCTGTAAGTCTGTGTGTCTGTGTGTCTGTGTGTGTCTGTATGTGTACCTGTGTATGTATGTGTATGTGTCTGTATCTGTGTATCTGTGTGTGTCTGTGTGTGCGTCTGTGTTTGTGTCTGTGTGTGTACCTGTGTGTGTGTCTGTGTCTGTATGTGTATCTGTGTCTGTCTGTATATCTGTGTGTGTCTGTAAGTCTGTGTGTCTGTGTGTCTGTGTGTGTCTGTATGTGTACCTGTGTATGTATGTGTATGTGTCTGTATCTGTGTATCTGTGTGTGTCTGTGTGTGCGTCTGTGTTTGTGTCTGTGTGTGTACCTGTGTGTGTGTCTGTGTCTGTATGTGTATCTGTGTCTGTCTGTATATCTGTGTGTGTCTGTAAGTCTGTGTGTCTGTGTGTCTGTGTGTGTCTGTATGTGTACCTGTGTATGTATGTGTATGTGTCTGTATCTGTGTATCTGTGTGTGTCTGTGTGTGTACCTGTGTGTGTCTGTGTGTGCATCTGTGTTTGTGTCTGTGTGTGTACCTGTGTGTGTGTGTCTGTGTCGAGTGGGGTAGATGCCATGGAGATAAGGTAGGTGGAGTGGGGATGCTAGAGGACTATCCCGGGCCATCGATATGGTTCCCAAAGAGCTGAGTGTGCTGCTCCTGTGGTTCTGAGGAGGGGATGCCTCTTGGCTCAGAGAATTAGGAGGATGGGAAAAGAATCTTCTAGCTGGAAGAAAATATTTAGATATGGAATTTGGATTTTTTTCAAGAGAAGGTTAGGTAAGAGATAAAAAAGATCTCCTTGCCTATTTTTAGAAGCATCTAAACTGAGCTCTTCACCCAGGGCGTCATCATGTACCTCCTCTGCCGTGACTGAGGGTAGTGTCCTCCAGCATGTCCACAGGGAGGGTCACTGGTGGCTGCACCGTGCCTCCTCAGGACACAGATTGCATTGGTCTGGGCCACTGTCCCCCCACCCTGGGGGATTCTCAGGCAGCCAAGGTTGAGGAGAAGAATCAGAGCTGAGAGTCTGGTTGTCCCTCCTAGGGCCACACAGACCATTGTCAAAAGCCAGAAAGGACATTCCTAGAATAATTTCTGTGTTTATAAAGGGATAGATTCATGGAAACTTGAGTGCTGCTGGAATGTTCTTTCCCTCTTACGAACATGCAGCTTCTCTTTGGCTGGTGGTGTAGATTGAGCCCCAGATGGGTGATTTTGGACATCCTTACCCTGGTTCATGTCATCCTCCTCCCTGTTTCTAAGAACAGATTCTCCTTTTTACATCTCTAGATGAGAGTAGCTTGAGTGGTCACGTGCGGTTGCTAGGAATGGAGCTGCGAGCAGCAGCTCCCTCCTCTTTTCAGCAGCGAGACTCAAAAGCACCTCCGGGTGCATCTTCCTTCCCACCTGCCACAAGGAAAGGAATTCGGAAGAGGAAAAGATTCATTCAACTGTCCTTCTTCCAGTGCAGGGTGGGATGCGGGGATGAGGAAAGCAGATGCATGGGATATGGGATGTGTTCAGGTGACCGATGGCACTGTCGGTCCTCCGGGAGCTGAGCAGAGAGTAAAGGCTGAGACTGCTCCCAGGGTCTCTGCGTCCCCTCCAGGCTGCTGGGGAGCAGCTGAGTGCTTGTGGCCCCTGTGGCCTTCTGTCCCAGCAGGGTGGGGCAGGCCCATGAAGTGGAAGGACCTGAAAGGCCTTGAGTCCAGAGTGGAAGTGAGCAAGTCCGCGGTGGGTGTTTGTTCATACTGGTCTCTACCGCCCACCAGCCACCCATGCCAGTCTTCCAGGCCTGAAAGACCGAGCTCAAGCTCCTTCTCCCTCAGGAAGCTCTCCACCCACTCATGGAAGGACACTTGGTTTAGTTCACATTCTTGGATTATTCTTTCCTTCGCATCAAATATAGCTCCCCAAGGAGATGGGGGCTCCGTCTGACAGCTTCCTGGGGTGCAGTGTGGACTGGCTCAGCACTGGGCTCGCGTTCAGCCACGTCCTGGTGAGACCATTAGGATGATGTAACCGTGGCCAGGTTTGGATGCTGGACAGTCCTGGGCTTCATGCCTGTCTTTGCCCTCCCAGCTGTGAGTCTGGGGGCTTCGCCCTTCTCGAGTCTCAGTTCTTCTTCTCTAATGTGCATGCCATAACCTATGGAGTGCAGAAGTTTCTTGAAGTAGATGGGATGATGAGTACACGTGCGTAGTGCTGTGCTGGACACCCAAGTGAGGGTCCAGGTGACAGCTCCTGCTGCTGCTGCCGATCCATTGCTTGTGCTGTAGCCCTACATGCAGTCTTAGCATACTGTATGTTCTTAGGGAGGGACCTGGGGAGATTGTCACGGGGAGAGACAACAGAGGGATACGAGACCTCAAAACTTCAGCAGTCTCTTCTAGAGGGGTCTCTAGAGGGTCTGACTCCCAAGCATCAGCCTCAGAACCGGGCAGTCCCGTCCTTTCCTTGGGGGTGCCCAGGGCGGAGGAGCCGCCGGCATCTCCGATGGTGGTGAGTGTGCGATCCTTCCTCCCTCTCCCCTCAGGGATTTACTGCTGCGGCTTGCTCCGCGCGCGGAAGAGTGACTGCACCGGCCTCCCACTGTCCATGCTGACCAACCCAGCCACACCCCCGGCCCGGGGCCAGTACCAAATCAAGATGAAGGGGAACATGTCCTTGATCTGCTGGTACAACAAAGGACACTTCCGCTTCCTGACCAACGCCTACTCCCCGGTGCAGCAGGGTGAGTGCGGGTCCGCCATTGACACAGTGGGGCGCGCGGGGATTGGTTGAGCTTGGCCGAGCCCACCGCTGCGGTGGATGTGGCGTCCACTGTGGGCTGTGCTGCTCTGGGGTCAGACTACCCTCGGTTATTCCCCAGCATCTGGGGCCACGCTCCTAAGTGTGGCGGCTGTGTGGAAGCAGCGGGGAAGCAGCGAGGAAAGAGCTCCCTGTTCGTTGTAAGCTTTTGAGCGGTGCATGCTGACGGGGTTTGCAGGTGGCTCAAGCCACCACGGGGTATGATAATGGCTGCATTTGAATGGCATTTCACTTTGTCGTCTGGGATTCTGTGAAAAATCCGTTCTGATGGAAGGAAAAATCCACCATTCTTATCTTTCAACGTCTTCCTTAGAAGTAAAGCATATGCGCTGTCTGGTTCATCCGCTGTTCCCTGATTTCTTCATTGATTTTACTCAGGATTTAAAATCCATTCTTAACAAAGGGACTTACTTAGCAAGGAGCCTATACTTAAAGTACCGTACAGTGAAATCATCACTAAACCACTGAAAAGAACACTGAAAGGACAAAGGGGCCCTTGCAAAGGCGTTCCCAGCTGTGCTGTGCTTGGGGGCAGCCTCCCCTGCCTTCACACGGAGGCTTTCCTCAAGACAAATGACGACGAATGAGGTAGAAAACAAAGGCCTCTTTCCCCTTCACTTGTAAAGGAACACTGCTAAGGAGCCCAGGTGTTTGTGTGCAGATTTGTGCTCTCACATGTACGTGTGTGTGGTGTGTAAGCTTGCCTGGCATGTTGTGTGTGCTGTGTGTGGTGTGTGTGTGGTGTGTGTGGTGTGTATGTTTCTGCGGTACAGTCTGTGCATCTATGTTTAATGTATGTTGCTAGTTTATTCCCATCCTTCACCTCCCGCCAGCTTAAGTTGCATCACGCCTCAGTGGAGATTGCGATCAAGGGACCCCAGCAGATGGGCATCAATACTCGATTTGGTTGTAGAGGATTGCAGGGAGCTGTGCTCTTGAGTGCTGTGTCTAGGATCAGTTGAAGAAAGGTTTGAGCCAGGCCTGGTGGCACCCACCTGGAGTCCCAGCTACTCAAGGGGCTGTGGCAGGACATTGCTTGAGCCAAGGAGTTCAAGACCAGCCTGGGCAACATAGAAAGATCCCCATCTACCAAGAGAGAAAAAAAAAAGGAGGAGGAGGAAGAACGAAGAAGAAAGAGGAAGAGGAAGTAGAGGAAGAAGAAAGGAGATGAAGAAGGAAAAGAAAGGCTTGGAATTGGCCTTGCAAGCTGAAGGCTAGAGTTTGGGTTGAACTTCCAGACTCCAGTGATGAGGGTCTTGGTGCAGGACGAGGGAATTTCCAGGGAACATGTTTGAGAGTCAGGGGCAGGAACTGCTTCCTACCAAATTATTTTGTTTATTTATTTATTTTTGGGACAGGGTGTTGCTCTGTCGCCCAGGCTGGAGTGCAGTGGTGCTATCATAGCTCACTGCAGCCTTGAATTCCTGAGCACAAACAAATCTCCCACCTCAGCCTCCCAAGTAGCTTGGACTACAGGTGCATACCGCTGCGCCCGGCTAATGTTTTTTTGTATTTTTTGTGAGACAGGGTCTCACTATGTTGCCCAGGCTGGTCTCAAACTCCTGGCCTCAAGTGATCCTCTAGCCTCAGCCTCCCAAAGTGCTGGGTGTACAGGCATGAGCCACCATGCCCAGCCCCACCAAATTATTTTAAGTGATGACCTCTGAAAAGGTATCTCAAGGCAGGACATCACATTCATCTGAGCTCAGTGAAAGCAGATAATGAAGAGAAAAGAATGAGGCTGGAGAGGTTCAAAATCCTCTCCAGGATTTAAGATGACAAATGTTAAAAGGCTAATTTTAAGGGTTGGAGCTCTTAAAGCAGACACCAAAGGAGCATGTAAGGAGGATATTGATGGGCAATTGATTTTTAAATCTGTTGAAATTTAGTGTTCATGTTTAATGTACTTACAATTTCTGGATCCAAAGTATTCTATTTTACATCATAAAGTTCAGAATCCTAGCGTCCCTTAAAAATCCCAAGGAATGACCACAGCATCACTGTAGCCCCCCTCCCCACTCCAGGGACCCTGGTCCCCTCCCCAGTACCTCTAGAAAGCACTCCCAGGGAAGTTCACACTTGCTCAGTGAGCACTTCAGGTGGGTGCTTCAGGTGGGCACAGACCTGGGTGTAGCTGGAATGAGTGGGAAATTGCCTGGGGGAAGGTAAAGTTCATAGCTGCTCCTCCCCAGGAAATCTGTTTTGGGGTTCACATCTTAGAGTTCTTTTTTGCATGAAGAGAGATCGTCTTCTGTACCTAGTATTCCTTCCCTTTGGATGTGCCATAATTTCTTCAGCCAGTGCCCTTATCAATGATCCACTTTTTCTCAGTGTTAATAATGATACAGTGATGTCTTCATACATAAACATTTGGGCACATCTTTGATCATTTCCTCTGGGTAAATCCAAAAGCGGAAGTGCTGGGTCAAAGGGTGGGACGATGTCAAGGTTTCTGGTGATGGGTTGCCGCAGGCTGTACTTCTCTACCATCGCAGCGGGCACAGATGCCTCCAGCTTTACCGGCACTACTTTTTTATTTGTCATTCTGACAGGTGAAGATGCCCCCAGATTTTAAATATCAATCACTCTGACTGCTGGAGAGGTTGCACATCTCTCCATGTGTTGATTGGCTAATTTCGAGTGATTTTTTTTATGTTCCTTACAATTTTCCTTTTGAGATATTTGTCACGTTCTCATTCACTTGAAAGGAAGTTTTCTGCCTATAGCACATTGTTTTCTGTATTTCATTTCCTTTTGTTTTTATTTGTGATTAGTATTATTTAACATAAAAAAAAGTTTTCATTTCTTCATAGGCGGATCTGTTGATACCTTCTCTGCTCTCATGCTTTAGGTCTCTGCTCTGTCCCAAGGCCAGATAAGTATAAGTTCACCTGGCTGTTTTATGGTGTAATTTTGTGCTCTTTACCATAATCCACTTCAAATTTATTTTGACGCATGGCATCAAGTGGGCCTCTACTATCTTGTTGTTGTTTAGTGGCCAGGCTGGGTTGACCCAGCAGCTGCACCTCTGTGCCTAAACCATTTATTGAATAATTCATCCTTTTCCTATTTATTTTAAATCTCATTCAGGGCCAGGTGTGGTGGCTCATGCCTATAATCTGAGCTACTCAAGAGGCTGAGGCAGGAGAATCTCTTGAACCTGGGAGACAGAGGTTGCAGTGAGCCGAGATTGTGCCACTGCACTCCAGCCTGGCCGACAGAGCAAGACTCTGTCTCAAATATATATGTATATATCAGATGATAAACTGAAGCATCATATATTCTAGAGACTACTTCTCAGCTCTATCTTATATTCTGTTCTACTATGACCATATATACTCTGGTTGTAGTTGAGCAGAATTTCCAATTTTAGGAAATATGTAACTAGGTATGAACATTTTAGGAATTGGTTAATTTTTTTTTACTCCAGATTCTAGGGAATCATGAACCTTTTTGTCACAGAGTATGAGCATATGTACAGGCTTTTTAAAAAGTTAAATGCAGGCCAGTCACAATGGCTTATGCCCATAATCCCAGCACTTTTGGAGGCCAAGTTGGGAGGATCACTTGAGTCCAGGAGTTTGAGACCAGTCTGAGCAACATGGCAGGACCCCATCTATGCAAAAAATACCACCTCCCCCCCCAAAAAAAAATTAGCTGGGCATGGCGTAGCTGTAGTAGTCCAAGCTACTGGGGGGTGGGGGTTGGTGGGGCACTGAGGCAGGAGGATCACTTGAGCCCAGGAGGTAGAGGCTGCAGTGAGCCAAGATCGTGACACTGCACTTCAGTCTGAGCAACAGAGTGAGACTGTCTCAAGAAAAAAAAAAAATGTTAAATGCTGTCACATGTCAAGGGATATTCCCATTGTGAACCAAACCCTTTTGCTTTTCTTTCGAAATCCACCTTGGGTCTGTCATCTTCCTCCTGGAGTCTGCCCATTTAGGATTCACATTCACTAAGACTAATGGGAAGGCAGAATGTCTGCATATGAATATGAGTCAGGTCTTGATTCATTCACTTAAATTTGCAGAAAGGTAGCAGGAATGTCAGTCAAGCCACTAACAGCCGAGGAAGGTGCTAAGACAGAACAACTGTTAGAATGGGAAGACAGGGCCATGTCGATCTTGAACATCACAGAGACAGACATGGAGAAGATAGACATGTGTGCAGATCCATATAGCTCTGAATACAGCGTCCACCACGAATCTGTGCATGACATACACGCCATTCTCAGTGATTCACTCAGTCAAGACAGTCACTATCAGATTCCCTCTTGCTAATATTGCCAATGTTAGCAATCAGAAGATGTCACAGGACAGCTGCCTTGCCTTTTTCAGCTGGGGTACTACCTCAGAATCCAAAATATCATAGGGAGAGGAGGGTGATCTGGTTTATAAACTGGGGAAATGCTCAAGGAGAGGATGCAGATCTGGTGTGGAAACAGCTCAGTTTCAAGCTGAAACCCCCATGTTAAATTTAAAATTATGAAAAAGAATGGGAAAGAAATGAAGAGTTAAAGAAGGTCTCCCATGTCCCGTGGTGAGGTAGATTGGGACAGTGACAGTCCAGGAGCCTCTGCTCTTATTGGGCTGAAATCAGGAGGTGAAAAGCTGCAAGGTCGGTGGCTATGGGGACGGGTCTATGGGAAACCCCGAGATCTTCGGAGAGCGGCCATGACTCACCGGAGACACTAATGACTCAGAGCGGGGCATCCTGAGTTCCGGGAAAAGAACTAAGGGGATTTGCATTTCTTTATAGGGATGGTCTCACCTGCTCACATCCAAGTGGAACCCTACAGAGGCCAGAGCCTCCTGTGACCCAGAGAAGGTTGTCATTGGAGGTCAGGCAAATCAAAACATAGCTGGAGATGGGAGACCTGCACGGGCCACATGCTGTGGCCCCAAGTGTGACAAGGGGTTACTCCTACTCGGTCTTGGAGGCAGAGGCAGCTGAGATAAGGGGCCGGGGACAGGAATCCTCAGGAGGGGCGTTGGAGAGAGACGGCAGTCCTTGGGCACTGCAGGCCCGCACGCCCTCCCTGGCGCCTGGTGCGCTGAGCCCTGGAGAACGCCCCCTCTGCAGGCTCCCGACAGCAGAACATCTCTCAGGAGGAGGGGCTCCATAAGCAAGTGAAGGAGGCCATAGTCTTCCGGCCAGGAGGAAGCTCCAGTGTGGGGGCCGCCATGGTTTTCTGGCCCTTGGATAGCTTTAGGAAACTCATTGCCAGGGCCCCTTCCCCGGTCCTGCGTCTCTAGGGCAGGCCTTGGCAGCTCAATTTCCCACAAGCTGGCCAGTGTTTCTTCCATGCGAAATGCTGCTGTTTCTGAGGAAAGAAGGAAAGAGTCCGGCTCAGTGTATGTAAGCAGATCTGCGCGACCCTGGTCTCCTCAGCCACGGTCCCTCAGTGAGAGTTGTGGGGGTGGGAGGGGGCTGGCCCCAGATGAAGCTCCTGTGGACCTGCAAAGGACATGCCCGTTTGACTTTGACCTTGTCCATTTAAGTATTGCTGAAATTTCACAATCCTGTGAGCCAATGCCTTAAAAAAAAAAATACAGAAAAATGGCACTGTGCCCATAGTCCCTTGCTGCTGTGAGGGAAGGCCAGTTCAAGGAAACAGTAGGTCAACTCCAGCCACTCTCGAATGGCCGCGGCTGTTAGGAAGAAGGCGTCCGTCTCATCTTCCGTGTTGTCTGCGGTGGGTGGCGCATAGGGCAGGCCTGGGAAGCCAGAATGACCAGCAGTGGCTTGGCAGCGGGGCAAGGAGGGCTCATGGGTCTCCGTGTGCTTCTCAGGCCCTGCTGGTAGGATTTGTTCATCTTGCCATGACCTTTGCGGTGCCCCTGGGATGCATTCCCAGTTGTACTTAGTAGAGGAAAAGGTGTTTGAGGGTGTAGGGCCCCCAAAGTTCGAGGAGGCATGAAAGGACGGAGCTGGGGGATGGGAGGGTTGAAAAGGACAACCTCCTCCTTCTTCTGAGCCTCTAATTCCTTTTGGCTGCGCGTGGAGGCTCGCACATGTAATCCCAGAGTTTTGGGAGGCCCAGGTAGAGGATCACATAAGGCCAGGAGTTTGAGACCAGCCTAGGCAACATGGTGAGACCTAGGCAACATGGTGAGTCTCTGTTTTAAAAAATTGTTTTAATTAGCTGGGCATGGTGGCATGTACCTGTGATCCCAGCTCCTTGGGTGGCTGAGGTGGGAGTATCCCTTGAGCCCAGGAATTTTAGGCTGCAGTGAGCTATGATCATGACACTGCACTTCAGCCTGAGTGACAGAGCAAGACCTCATATCTAAAAAAATAATGATAATAATTCCACCCTTTTGCTTTTTTATTTTTTATTTCATTTTGAGATGGAGTTTCGCTCTTGTCACCCAGGCTGGAATACAATGGCAGCGATCTCAGCAAACCGCAACCTCGGCCTCCCAGTTTCAAGTGATTCTCCTGCCTCAGGCTCCTGAGTAGCTGGAATTACAGGCGCCTGCCACCGTGCCCAGCTAACTTTTGTATTTTTAGTAGAGATGGGGTTTTGCCATGTTGGCCAGGCTAATCTCAAACTACTGACCTCAGGTGATCCCCCCGCCTTGGCCTCCCAAAGTGCTGGGGTTACAGGCGTGAGCCACCGTGCGCAGCCTCCTTTTGCTTTTTTAAATTGACAAACAATAATTACACATTTTCACGGGGCACATAGTGATGTTCTGCTACATATAATGTATGGAGATCAGATCAGGGTAATTAGCATATCCATCATCTCACACACTTATCGGGGGATTTATTAAAGGATGCAAAACCACAGCCTAGATGGGAGGAGTGAGGTCTAGTGCTCTGTGCGGGGTGACTCTGCAGTCACCCTGTGTGGGGTGACGAGTTGCCGACACCCCTTGGCTTTGATGAAGGCAGGTGGAAAGGGCTCCATGGTGCTGTCTGACCTCAGCCACCACCTCTTCTTCCTAGCATCCCTCACCCAGCCTGGCAGAAGGGGGAGGGAGGGAGGAGTGAGCCCTGTCTCCGCTTTCACTCTTTCAAGGCCCAGTCGGATGCAGCACCCTTCCCCATGCTGCTTAGAGCCCCTTCAGGCCTGCCAGGATCCTAGAGGCCTGTAAACCCCATGACTTGGGGTGCTGTGTCTGGGCCAGCGCATACCATGGCACTCACCTGACTGATGCTTTCCTCAATCCCTCTGAAGCACCTGGTGGTTGGTGCTGATTGTTCTTCTTCAACTCTTCCCTCCCCTCCTCCTCCTCTGCTCATTATTAAGTTGGGAGCAGCTAAGCTGGACGAAGATAGGCACATTTATAAAGTGGCATTAGGAGGAGGTGCTGAGGAAGGGGCTTATCTTGTCTCTCGCCTTCAGGAGTCATCATCAAAAGGAAGAGTGGGGAGATCCCATGCCCCTTGGCCGTGGAGGCGTTTGCCGCTCACCTGAGCTACATCTGCAGATACGATGACAAATACAGCAAGTAAGTGGCTGGGCACCTCCATGACAGAAGGGCTCTCATAGTTGTGCCGTCTCGGAAGAGATGTAATGGCAGATGATCACTAGTTTCCCCAGTGTAAGAACTGCAGGATGAAGACCCTGGGAGGTAAGATCCTGCCCTCAGCCTGGGCTTCTGGGCCTCGCCTGTGCACACATGGCTTTACCTAGAAGTCCTCTGCCCAGGTACTCTGTGTCCTCCACTCTCCCAATGCTGGGTTCACATTCCCTGTGCCCAGAGGCACCCTTTCCTTTGCTTACTGAACTGAACTGTCCCTCAGCAGTGAGCTCAAACTCCAGCCGTTGGCATCGCTTGCCCCAGTCCTCTATTCTGAATTGCTGTCCTCCTTCCCCACACCCCTAACACACTGGGCATCAGCTCGGGCACTTCTACCCCAAGTCACATGTGTTCTAGCACGGGTGCCTTAATTTTCTCAAATATGGATGCCTATTTAGATCACCAGATGTGGTCTCATGTTCAATATACACATAGTATGCATAGTTTACACACAGCATAGACAAGATCCACAATGTGCGGACGTCCAGACACCCACGATGCCACCCCTGACCTCGTGCCATTATAGCCACCATGATGGGAACTCAAAAAATGACGACTATTGAACATTGAAACTATTAAATTACTGGGATTGAGCCTTACCACTTAGAACAGGGTTGGGCTAACTCAAAATCAGATATTGACTGAACCTTCTTTGAGGGTAACCTGTACTTCCTGGCCTTTTTCATGATAAAGAGGGAAAAACAAGGACCTGGTTCTCTCTGGAAAACTCAGCCTGTGTGTGAAAGGTAGTCCCACTCCTTGGGGATTCATTGAACAAGTCTTTGTTGAACGCCCACTATGTGCTCAGCACCTTACTAAATTCCATGAGGTTGTTACAAAGACATTG
Source organism: Homo sapiens (assembly GCF_000001405.40). Taxonomy (NCBI): domain Eukaryota; kingdom Metazoa; phylum Chordata; class Mammalia; order Primates; family Hominidae; genus Homo; species Homo sapiens. The sequence goes on along the minus strand of NC_000001.11, from coordinate 230,324,390 downwards.
GCATTCAGTTCACTGAGCACCTACTATGTACTGGCACCTTGCTGTGTTCTATGAGGTTGTTCTAAAGCAGCTGGCATTTGTGGGGTAGATGTCTGTCGTGCCTGCTCTGTGCTGGGCATTTCAGACATAGTGAGATATTGAGGATACCGATCCTCCCATACTTTATACAGGGTGCAGAGGCAAACTCACAAATGGAGAAGACAGTGCAGTGAGTGAGGCCTGAGGCTAGTGCTCCCAAGAAGGCCAGTGTTCTCAGGGTCTGGGTGGGCTTCCCGGAGGGGTGACCTGTGTGCCTTCATCTGCAGGGATGGTGGGGATGGCAAAGGTACATTCGGGAGCAGGGGAATGCCCTGCAGGGGCCTGGAGCTGAGGAAGAGCTTGGCCTTGGGGGAGTGTCAGCTGCACAGCACGTACAGAGCACAGCTTTGCAAGGAGCATTCAGCAAGCAGGGAAGCTGGAGAGGCTGGCAGGCGCCTGTCCACTCCGGGGCTGTGCGCCACCCCAGCACACCTGGCACCTGGCTTTCAGGGTCTACTCCAGCAACCTTGTTGTTTTCATTTCCTTGGTCTTAAATGAAGTTCACTGTGACAAAACCCCCAGCTGGAACTCACCTAACATCCCAAGCCTGACTCCTGCCCCCATAGCCCTCCTGCTTCTGTCGGGGGCGAACCTGCAGCGTCTCACGGGCTGTGGTGAGGGGGGGCCTTTGGGATGCATCTCCGGGTGCCATGAACCATCGGGTCAGCCGTTCTTATTCCCTCTGTCCTCAGGTATTTCATTTCTCATAAACCAAACAAGACCTGGCAGCAGGTGTTCTGGTTCGCCATCAGCATCGCCATCAACAATGCCTACATCCTGTACAAAATGTCAGACGCCTACCACGTGAAGAGGTACAGCCGGGCGCAGTTTGGAGAGAGACTCGTCAGAGAGCTGCTGGGCTTGGAGGATGCCTCTCCGACCCACTGATGCTGGGGGCGCAGGACTCGGTCAAGGGAGGGGCAAGAGGAGGAGGAGAGCCTGCCGTTCCAACTTGCCCATCAGAGACCCGGACACGGCCTGGTGTGTGGCTTGCTGCCTGGGAGGGATGCACAGGGCCTCTGGAGGGACAGGATGGACCTGGTCAGAGGACGGTTGCTGTCCTCATTTGCATTCCAAGAAGAGCATGTCCTCCCTCGAGAAACAGTGCCGCCGGTGTGATGAGCACTTACACCCACGTTCTCAAGGGCAGATTCTCTCATGACATCCGTGGAGCTTGCGAGGCAGCGTGGACTGGTGACTGTGAAGGAAGGCCCCCGTGGTAGAATGAGCTGGAGCACGCTCTAAGAGAGATGCCTGCTTCCTAAAGATCTACAGCAATCTGGGACGTGGTTCAAGTTCAAGACTTGAAGGAAGCAAAGACGCCCTGCATGGTTACAATGGCTCAGGTGTCAGGGGAGGCCGGAGGGTTTTCCAGCATTTGCCTCATGCCAGCACCTTTGAACCGGTCTCTTAGAAGAAGACACACATCCTGGGTGTACAGTGGTGAAATGGGGAGTGGGTGCCCATTCTGAAAAACGAGGCATTCCTGCTCATTCCCTCTGCTTAGCTGGTGGGCAGGGGAGAGAGGGAAATGCCAAAAACTTGGAGTGAAGGATGATGCTATTTTTTATTTTTAAATATATCTTCAGGTTATTTTCTTACTGTTGCTTCAGATCTAATGTAAAAGGCAGATGTCCCCTCCTCTCCACCCCCGACGCTGACCCCGGCCTCAGTCACGGCTCTTTGCATGATCACAGTTCTGTGTTCTGGCCTGTGGCAGGGCCGGGAAGGGCCGCTGGCTTCCGAACAGACGTGGTTGCTCTCCACGAGGCGCATGGGGAGCCCGCGGGCCCTAAGCTTTGTCGCAGATGTCATCATTGGCAGAATTACTTGTCTTGAAAAATAAGTAGCATTGCTGAAACACACAACCGAATTCTCTACGATGGCCATTTGCTCATTGTCTTTCCTCTGTGTGTAGTGAGTGACCCTGGCAGTGTTTGCCTGCTCAGAGTGGCCCCTCAGAACAACAGGGCTGGCCTTGGAAAAACCCCAAAACAGGACTGTGGTGACAACTCTGGTCAGGTGTGATTTGACATGAGGGCCGGAGGCGGTTGCTGACGGCAGGACTGGAGAGGCTGCGTGCCCGGCACTGGCAGCGAGGCTCGTGTGTCCCCCAGGCAGATCTGGGCACTTTCCCAACCCAGGTTTATGCGTCTCCAGGGAAGCCTCGGTGCCAGAGTGGTGGGCAGATCTGACCATCCCCACAGACCAGAAACAAGGAATTTCTGGGATTACCCAGTCCCCCTTCAACCCAGTTGATGTAACCACCTCATTTTTTACAAATACAGAATCTATTCTACTCAGGCTATGGGCCTCGTCCTCACTCAGTTATTGCGAGTGTTGCTGTCCGCATGCTCCGGGCCCCACGTGGCTCCTGTGCTCTAGATCATGGTGACTCCCCCGCCCTGTGGTTGGAATCGATGCCACGGATTGCAGGCCAAATTTCAGATCGTGTTTCCAAACACCCTTGCTGTGCCCTTTAATGGGATTGAAAGCACTTTTACCACATGGAGAAATATATTTTTAATTTGTGATGCTTTTCTACAAGGTCCACTATTTCTGAGTTTAATGTGTTTCCAACACTTAAGGAGACTCTAATGAAAGCTGATGAATTTTCTTTTCTGTCCAAACAAGTAAAATAAAAATAAAAGTCTATTTAGATGTTGATTCTCCGTTAATACGTGAATTCGTTTAAAAGGTCAGGGAACAGGCGGGGTGCGGTGGCTCATGCCTGTAATCCCAGCACTTTTGGAGGCTGAAGCGGGCGGATCGCTTGAGTCCAGGAGTTTGAGACCAGCATTGGCAACATGGCGAAAGCCCATTTCTACAAAAAATACAAGAATTAGGTGTGGTGGCACATGCCTGCAGTCCCAGCTACTTGGGAGGCTGAGGTGGGAGGATCTCTTGAGCCACTGCACTCCAGCCTGGGTGACAGAGCCAGACCCTGTATCAAGAAAAAAAACAAGGTGAAGGAACAAAAATACAGGCTACTCTTTTAAATACTTGATTTTTTTTGTTATATAATCTGGTGTGTATGATATTAACTGTTCTTGGTGTCTCAAACCACTGAGCAGTTTAAAAAAGAAATGTTTTTGAGTTTGGCTAATAGAAATACCTCTTGATGTTGCAGTTGTATGAGTGCAGTTGTATTTGAGGTGCCTGTTTCATTGAAGACACTAGCAGGCCTGCCTTCCGGCCTGGTGGTTTTCCCTCTTTTCTTCTAGTTTGTGTCGTGTGTCATTCCAGATGAGCAGGAAGAGGTGCTGTTCTGACAGGCAGTGGGTGGCTGCATTCCCCAGTCATGAGAGAATAATTGTAACATTGTAACACTCTGTTTCTAAAATGGCAGCCACCTGTTGTCTGATACATGATGGGAAAAGGCAGCTGTTGAGCCGGGTCTAGGGGAGGCTTCAGTGGCCACTTCAGGTCTCTGGAGGAATGCTGTTGACTGAGAAGAGTTTCTCTTCTCCATCCAGAAGGACAGAATAGCATGTAGGACGGACTGACAGAACCTCCAGGGACCTGGACCTTGCCTTAGAGATGTGATTCAAAGTGGCTTTTTGGAGTGACTCTAGTTGAAGTGCATCTGGTTCCAGTATCTCCCTGGGTTCAACAGCCCTCAGGTTGATTCTTGATTGGCTTTGGAGTAGCTGGCCATCCCTGGGGATGAGGAAAGAGCATCGTAAGTGGTCTTATGACAGAGGGAGCCAGCATGGCCCTGGCTGAGTATATGGGGCTGGCAAGCACCACTGCACACATGGCAAGTGAGAGCCCATTCCACTCAGATCCAGCCACTAAGCCAAGCCGATCCCCTGAGGGATGTCTCTGCTGCAGGCTCTGGAAAAAAAAGATGGAGCAATGAGCTTCCCAGCCTTATGCAAAACAAAACACCCACAAAAACTTCCAAGCTTCTCCAAAGAGAATCTGCATTTCCCTGCAACTCACAGGGAATTGAACCTGCACTGAGCTTCACGGAGTTTATGAGACCTTCCCATTACTGCAGTTGTGTTGAGCGTCCCGTGAGGTCCTTCTTAGGCAAATTTAACTTCATTGAGTGAATGTCTGTTTCTGTTTGGTGCCTACTTGATCAGGTTCCATATTCGACTTTCATTGTCTTTCCCCACACTCTGCTCCCTAAAGAGCCTCGATTTTGGCCAGGTGCGGTGGCTCACACCTGTAATCCCAGCACTTTGGGAGGCCGAGGCAGGCGGATCACAAGGCCAGGAGATTGAGACCAGCCTGGCCAATATGGTGAAACCCCATCTCTACTAAAAATACAAAAATTAGCTGGGTGTGGTGGTGGACACCTGTAGTCCCAGCTACTCGGGAGGCTAAGCAGGAGAATATCTTGAATCCGGGAAGCAGAGGCTGCAGTGAGCCAAGATCGCACCACTGCACTCCAGCCTGGGTGACAGAGCGAGACTCCAACCCCCACCCCGCCACAAAAAAAAAAAAAAAAAAAAAGCCTCGAGTTTGAACAACGTCTTCCCGTGGTCCATGGGACATTATACTAGGGACATCTTTCAAAAGTCAGGCAAGTCATATGGAAAAGTCTTGGTGGCTGGGTCATTCTGAGCAAACACATCCAGTACTGACTAAATCAGATGAGGCTTGGTCACCAAAATTGAGTTAACTCTGCTGCGTGCAAGAAGCAAGAAGATTGCAGGTCCCCAGGACAGAGCCTGGAAGGTTCTGAATCCTTCCTGTGTGGCCCGTGTGTCACCATCCTCCCCAGGGACCCAGGCTCAGCCCCCCCAACAGTGAGGGGGGGTCACCAAGCATCAGGCTGAGAGGAAGCAGGGCAAACCCGGGAGGGCCATGGGGCCTTGCAACTACGCAAGCCTCACACATTCTCCTCCAGTCTGCATTCATGGCAAAAAAAAAACATTTCCCCACTTGCCTGGGATTGGGGCGAGAACAAGTCAACGACACTGATGGGGGAGAAAGGTGACCTTGGGTGTGGTACCTCCCAGATCTGTCTCCTGCATCCTCGCAGGTGCTGTGTTTGAAAGGTATGACAGCGGTGGCTAACAGGCAGGCACACTTCCAGGCGGCTTGGGGTGGCCCTTCTGCCCCAGAGCCTTACTCCTCACAGGGATCCCTGTGGGTTAGGCATGGACTGTCACCACGCCCAGATGGAGTGGTGCAATGGTTCGCCCAGGTAAGCAGACCCGGGTTTGCCTGACGCAGGAGGCCGCGTCCTAACTGCTGTGGGCACTGGCTGTCCTGATTCATCACGAGGACGGGGGATTTTATCCCTGACTTACCTGACAACTTTGTGGGGGATTTTCTCCTTTCCATATCCAATCCTCTCTGCTGATCCGAATACTGAAAACAATCATTATGAGATCCGGGACATCACCCTCCCCCTGGGTCCTTTTCTTGTCCTAGATGGAGATGGGTGTTTTGGAGCTTAACAACTACTGAAGCTGAAGTTAGCCTGGTAGGGAGCCACTATTCTGGGGGGCATTTGGACAGGGCAAGCCCTTGGCCACACCAGACCCTGAGCCAGAAAGAACCATAGCGATTTCCTCACCCAGATGGCCCCAGCTCACAGTATGGGGAGAGTGGGATGGGGTGGGGGAGTGGAGCCAGCTGTGGGGTCTCATCAGAGTGCCCTGGGATCTAGGCCAGAGGCGCCGTCTTCACCCACATGCCAGCTTTGTGGTTCTGGTCCCTCTTCCTTAAGCGAGGGCTTGCCAAGCTTTGGCTGTGGAAAGCCTTAGCCTTGTGTAGTGGGAGTTCCAAACGAAAGAAGTCCCCAGAAGTTCACAAGGTAGTGGCCAGGGAAAGTGTCCCCAGTGCCCCCTCCCCACCGGTGGCCTCTGCAGCTTGCTTTGGAAAACAGTTCTGTCTGTGAAGAAATCTCTCCTGTTACGGCCCTGTGTCAGTCAATGCGGGCTTGGCTGTCTGCCCAAATACCTTCCGTTCTTATCAGGAACATGACTGAGGCTTCTCACTTTTGACTCCATCACTTAATCCCTTTTTCTCCGTGGCTTCTGTGTGTCTCATCTTCGAGAATATTTCTCAGCCTTCTTTGCAGGTATGTTATTCTCTCCCAATAAGAAATAAAGAGTATCAGGTACCAAAGTGGCACTTAGAGCTGTTGCCATAAAATAGCACCAGAGAGTAAGCATGCCCTCTGGCCACGCAGCTCGCTGCCATTTAGCCATCTCTGTGTCCCTCCCTCCCTGGGGTGCCCAGTGCGCACCCCAGTTCTCCAGCAGCCCAGGCACATTCTCCTAGCTCTGACCCCTGTCTGGTGGGGGCCGGGCAGCCTCTCTTGAGTGTAGGGCGGTGGTGCTGGCGCTGGTGGCAGCTCTGTGTGAACTGTGTTCCGGGGAGGGTGGGGCACCTTCACCCTTCCGTGTATACCCATGTATACACGGTCGTAATGAGGAGACTCCTGCGGGAGACTTGATTGTGCGCTCCATGTCACTAGCTACTCTACAAGCAGATACTATTCTTCAGGTTTTTTCCTTAGTTGCCTGGAAGCTTGACCTTGTGTGCATGTATTTGGAGATGAAAACAGAAAGGGCGGGGAGGACATCGGCTTGTGTGAAAGACCTAGGAAGACGATGGAGGAGTGTGTGCGGCTTCCCTCACGTGTCAAGCCTCCTGGCTCCCTCAGGTGGAAGGGGCACTTTATGGCCAAGGAAATTCAGTGAGGAGTGAAGGGTGAGGCTGAGCCCGCCAGATAAATCAGCCTCGGCCCTCCCCTCCCCAAGGGTCAGCCCCCGGCAGCGCACCTCTGTTCTTGGTGCGTCTCGCTAGTCTTTGATTCATTCTTCTGCCGTCTTCACCCAAGCCTCGCTGGACTAAAGAGTGACAGTTAATGCACATGGAGCATTTCTGTTCCAGCAGGTCACGTCTCCCTGTATGGTTCCTTTGCTGAGTCCTCAGCATTGCCCTGGGAGCTGACAACCATCGGTCCCCCTTTTGTGATGGGAAAGTGACACTCTGAGAGCCGTGGTGACTCTACAGGGTGTGGAGCCAGGTTGACCCTCACTCTGTCTGCTCCAGGGCTTCCTGGTTCTCAGCCACTGCTGCTTCTGAACTGCTACAGGCCAGGCATTGTGCTAAGAACTGGGCACGTGTTACCCCAACGTGGTCTGTGCCCTTGAGGGTGCCATGACTGAAACACGTTGGGGGCACAGAGCAGGCTGATTCTCCGCCGAAAGAAGGCTCCAGCCAGAGGCCGAGACCCCGTGTGGGGGAGGTGGCAGTCACCATTGCTGCTGGACTCAGCAACCCCCAGACCCTCCACCTTGCTTGGCAGGCATCACATGCACCTGGCTTAGCACATCCCTGCAAACACAAGAGTCTGAGCCTCCTCAAGAGGCTGCAGTCACACTGCATTTGACCAGGACTTGCCAACCTGCAACTTGCCCTGAGAGCCAGGTATGCGTGTGTGTATCTGGGGAGCACGCCCCAAACATGAGCAGGGACGGTGTTCCCAGCTATCCGAGAGGTCATGCCCAAGCCAAAAGGAAGGCTCTAGCTCTTAAACATGAATAAGTTTATTCCTTTCATTTCCACAGTGTCTTATGCTTGCTTCTGTTTTCTCCAAGGAAGTATGGTGCCCACCTACTCCTCCAGCCTGACGATCCATGTGAGGGTTCCTTGTTCCCAGCCCAATTCTCATGTCCCACCTTTCTCCACTAAGAAACAGCCAAATTTTGGCAAGAGTCGTGGTAGGAAAAAAAAACAATAATTGGGCAGATGAGGATTTTTCACTTTTTGACTAGTTCTTTCTCTAGACTTTCCTGTCTTTTTAAAACTTCTAGTTTCCCCCTTGAGCGCTCCCTCCCAGTGGGTAGACCACGGAAGGAATGAACAGGGGATGGAAGCAGGGGATGCAGTCCCTATTATTTCAATAGATTGGAAAGATGGGCCCAGAACAATTGCGTACGGTGTTCAGTGTAAATTGAAGATCTGGAGTTGCAGGATTGTTGAGGCAATTTTTAGTTGCTTTGCTCCATCTAAACACAAGGCCATAGGATAGTGTGACTTTGTAGCTTCATCACCGTATCCACATCAGAAGTACAATGTCCACTTAATACATATATACACATATGTACGTATACACATATACACATGTGTACATATGTATGTATACACATGCACATGTGTACGTATGTATGTATACACATACATATATGTGTACACATATACATATGTATGTATACACATAGATATATGTGTACACATAAACATATGTATGTATACACATAAACATGTATGTATACACATACATATATGTGTACACATATACTTATGTATGTATACACATACATATATGTGTACACATATACTTATGTATGTATACACATACATATATGTGTACACATATACTTATGTATGTATACACATACATATATGTGTACACATATACACATATACATATATGTGTACACATAAATATGTATGTATCCATATATGTATATATATACACATGTATACAGATATGCATCTATATGTATACCTCTATATGTATGCACATATACATATATGTATACATATATACATATATGCATACATCTATAATATATGTATGTGTATATATACACATACAGTGTCCACTTAATATATATATCTATCTTGTGTGTATGTGTGTGTAAATATACACACACATACACACACGATAAAATACAGAGTCTACCACATGATGAGCCTCTGCTAGGTCCTTAGCAATCAAACCACATGTCCAGTCCTGGCCCCCATTCTACAACTAAACACATGGGCCAGTTTAGGGGTCCAGGAGGGCAAGAATGGTGGGTCCACGTAGAAACCAGGTGAGGGAGGAGCAGTCCACAGGGCTGGGGTGATGGGCTGGTGAAGCAGTGTTCCAGGAGGGGAACTGCTGCTCACAGGGCTGTCCTGGTCGCCCTCGGGATACAGCCAGACTTGATCCGAGTGGCTCCCGGGGCTGAATGGGGACCGCCGGGTGCATATCCCAGGAGGCAGCCTTCAGCTCAGTGGGGAAAGCAGTTTCCAACCTTAGAGCTGCCCAACACTAGCACAGGGCACCTGAGAAAGGAGGGGCCCCTCTGCCTTTACTCTGTCTCCCACTAGAGGCAGCTGGTTCCTTCAGGGAACTCTGGTGGGGGGTGAGGGGGTGGCTGGTTCTCAGTGGGCAGGGGTGACCCTACTGGGGTCAGTGGGCTGGCAATGCTGGTCTTCACTAAGAAGAGTTGAAAATAGCCAGGAAGCTAAGCCCTGGCTCCTGGGCTCCTGGGCAGATGCTTAATTAGGAGGAAGAAGGAACCAAAATCATGAACACAACTGGCTCTCTCAGGGGGAGGCTGTCACCCTCCAAGCTCTTCTTCCCCTTCCTCAAATGGAGATTCACACTCATCCCTAGTTCAGGAGAGCCGCCATTGATGATGAGGAAATCCGTGTCAAAGAAGCTGGAAAGACTGCTATTCATTGTGAGAATTTTGTTTCCACTGCTACATTACATTGTTTCTTCTTGTTTTCCCTTCCAATTTCCAGTTAAGAATCTTTCACAGAAAATTTTTAATTTTATCACAAACTGCACAGATATCACACAGCTGCACCCCCATTTGGTGACACAAAGCATACCCTTCTGTGAAGATTTTCACTTTACGCCAAGGCATGATTGTCACTTTACGCCAAGGCAATAAATTTTTACAAATTTTGTATAACAGGAGCTGAATTCTGGGTTCTCAAATGTGAAATGTGGCAAAAAAAAAAAAAAAAAAAAAAAAGATTTAATTCAAGCATTTTGTCATGTGGTTCTTATTTCTTCAACCAAGTTTGTTTACAGTCACTGCCTTTGAAATACAGTCAAATACATCTGTTTGCTTCTCTCTGGTGGTTTTTCTTTGTGGGTGGCTGATGAGGGAGGGAGGATACAGGACAGGACGCTCATGAAAGTATGATGGGGTCTGTTGCTGGAAATGAATAGCAAGGGAGGTCGGCCAGGCCTGAGAAACCCACCGCCGGGCTCTCTGGAAGATGAAGAGGGAATGACAGGGCAGGGGGGTCTTCAGGGGGTTCAGGCCTGTGCTAACACCTTAGCTTCCTCAACCCTGCCCCCGATCCTGGGAAAAGTCAAGGGGATCCCCAAAGCGGTCTTCCTCGTCTCCCCTTCCATCTTCCCTCCACCGTCAGACTGGATTCTGCAGCCTGTAGCTGCAGCCTGTATTGGCTGCTGTTATTACCACAGCCCTAAGGGCCTCCACCATTCTCCTCGCACTCCTCAAAAGGTTCCAGAATCTGGGGTGAGCGCTCTTGTCAGAAGCTGGAACAGGAGGAAGCAATGTTCAAGAGCACTGGTGTGTGCAGAATGCCAAGGACCCCAGGAGAGCTGCAACTGCCCGCTCGTGACTGTGGACGATCACCATGTCCCCAGCTCTGCCAGCAAATACCACCCAGTCAGATGCTTTCATGATTGCAGTTCAAAACGAAAACAAAAAGGGCACGATATTGGCTTTAGCAGCGTTATCCTGACAGTCACAATGTGGACATTGTTTTTCTTACCGTAGAAAATCTCTGTATAAAATGAGATGACGGATCCCACTTTCCAAGGTTGTTTTTTTTTTTAATCACAAATGATTTTGAGGGCTGAGCACAGTGGCTCACAGCTGCAATCCCAGCAGTTTAGGAGGCCAAGGCAGGAGGACCGCTTGAGGCCAGGAGCTTGAGACCAGCCTGGGCAACATAGTGAGACCCCATATCTACAAAACAGAGAAGATTTTGAGAAGCTTGTGCTTCTCCATCTAACATAGGAATTCAAGTGTTTTTACAGCACATTATAACAAACATGCCTTGTTTTTCTACAAGCCAAAAATAATTTTCAAACACTCTTAAAATGTTAACGATTTCAAATCTTTGCAGACCCTTTAGTAAGCACTAAATTTACCTTTACTTTTGTTGTGTTTATCCCTGATGTAATGATTTATTTTATAAAATCAGAGCCTTCCCTTTACCACTATCTTTTATATGATTTCCCCTCATTTTCTTTTCCACATTTCATGGCCTCTGACTCTGTCCTTTACAAATATCTATTCCTTCTCTTTCTCCCTCCCTCCTCTTCCTCCCTCTCTTCTTCCCTTCTCCTCTTCCCCTCCCCCACATTCCTTTGCTGAGCACAGATAATCCATGTCCCCAGATGTCCCCCTCTGGATGCCCGTCCCCTAGCCCATCACCTGGCATACAGGTTCTCCAGCCTCAGGGTTCCCACGGTGCACAGGGACCTTCCCCTCTCAACGGTAGTAGGGTGAGGACATAACCTTTTGTATCCAAGACATTTTGAGGGTAGAGACATCCATAACGAGGAAAAACTCCAACAAGGAGGATTCAAAAGACCGTTTATAGATGAATAGGATAATGGGATTTAGTTTACTGATCCCAGGGCCCAGCCTTCCCTGCCACATTGACTGAATGCTGATCACATCTCCCAGTGGTGCTGGGGCGCAGTAGCTCATGCCTATAATCCCAGCACTTTGGGAAGCCAAGGCAAGAGGATCACATGGGGCCAGGAGTTCCAAACCAACCTGGGAAACATAGTGAGACCCTGTCTCTGAGAAATAGAATTTAAAAATTTAGCTGGGCTGGGTGCTGTGGCTCACACCTGTAATCCCAGCACTTTGGGAGTCTGAGGTGGGTGGATTGCTTGAGGTCAGGAGTTCAAGACCAACGTGGCCAACATGGCAAAACCCTGTCTCTACTAAAAATACAAAAATTAGCTGGGCTTGGTGGCACACGCCTGTAATCCCAGCTACTAGGGAGGCTGAGGCAGGAGAATCACTTGCAGCCGGGACGTAAAGGTTGCAGTGAGCCGAGATAGCGCCATTGCACTCCAGCCTGGGTGACAGAGCAAGACTTCGTCTCCAAAAAAAAAAAAAAAAAAAAAATTAGCTGGGCATGGTGGCATGCACCTGCAGCCTGCAGTCCCAGTTACTTGGGAGGCTGAGGCAGAGGATCGCTCAAGCCCAGAAATTCAAGGCTGCAGTGAGCACTGATTGCACCACTGCACTTCAGCTTGGGCTGAAGGATCACTTTAGCCCAGGATCACTTTAGCCCAAACAAGACGCTGTTTGTTTGAAACAATAACAACAACAACAAAAACAAACAAACAAAAAAACAGAACCATCTCCCAGGGCTGTGGGCCTTTGGGGACATGCACAGGAATACACACAAAAAAAGACAAACATGTTCTAGTTTGAGCAGAAGAATAGTACAGGGCAAGTGGACTAAGTCATTCATTCAAAACACTTTAATTGAGCTCTTCCAAATCAGTAGGCACTATGCTAAACACTAAGGGTATAAGCAAGGACAGTCTTTGCCATCAAGGGCTGTCAAATAGTGGGAGAGACACAAACGCAATATCTCATGTGGCCAGAGTGATAATAGTATGTAAAAATTAATCAAGGAATGAAGCCCGTATTTTCCCAACCACAAATGGGGATACATGAATCATGTTCTGTCTCTGGGGCAGAATATTTTAAAAGTAATTGCTATGGGAGACTGACATGGCCAGAGAGAGGTCAGGTGTGGATGTTATTCTACAGAATGAGTAGACTCGTTTTTTGGAACAAACCCACGTGACACTAGCTGATTTAGAGCCAAAAAGCTCAGGGATTTGTCACTGGGAGGATCTTGGGCCAATAGACATGAGTCTGAAAATTCTGCCCAGGTTAAACCACCCTGACAGTACCAGGCAAGAGAATGTGAAGTCTATACACATTAAAAATTTCTGGTTCCAATTCCTGGGGAGGCTGGAGCAAGAGGATCACTTTAGCCCAGGTAGTCGAGGCTGCAGTGAGCTATGGTCACGCCACTGCACTCCAGCCTAGATAAGACACAGTGAGACCCTGCCTCTAAAACTTAAAAATTAAAAAAGAAACCTGCCTAAAGGAACAGTAACCAGTCTGGAGGGAGGAGGCTCTCGATCCCGAAGAAGCCAAAGGTAACTGGACACGAGATTTTTCTGTGCCAAGCATTTCCCAGTTAGGCTGTGGCTGATTCACCCTCTCTGTCCCCCTCTCACACTCTCCTCAGTCCCAGGAACTAGAAAAAGATGGAGAGCTGTCCTTCCCTGAGTCGCCCCAACCCTTAGCAGCAGTCTGACCTTATGCGGCCTGAGTGAGGCCCAATGCTGGTAGCGGCTCTGTTCACACTCACCCTCCAGCAAAGCAAACGTCGAGAGACCAGGAGAGGGGAGTCCAACCCCAAAAAGGAGAGCCAGTGCCTGCGAGAATAAGTGTGTTCATGGAGTTAACAGGATGGAATACTTCAAAATCCAGGATGCCCTGAAACTATATGTACATCTATTAGATATCAATTAAAAATTATCTTAATTAAAAAAAATAAAAATAAAAATCCAGGATTGTTGTCCTGGCATGGATGGAATGAAGAAGGGCCTAGGAGAGTGGGAAGGTGTAGGCAGATTTGTCTGATTTTAACAGAGTTAAAACGAAAAATATGTAATTAACAACCTGCTCCCAAACCAAATTTTCACCCTCCCCCTTTTCGGACTGTCCACCTTCTTTGAGATGAAGCCTTTCCCATGGCTGCCCAGCAGAGGGCAGCAGAGGACACCTTATGAGCCTCCGTCCCCTGCACACAATAGCGCATTCGTTCAACAAATGCCTTCGGAGTTTGGAGTGGACAGTGTTCCAGGCACTGTGGACACTGCCCTAAATAAGACAGACGAGGTCTCTGCTGGTCCAGAGCAAGGGGAGAGAACAATAAGCAAAGTCATGGAGACTATAGCACCGTAAAGTGATGGGGACAGGAATGGAAAAGGGGCTTGCTGATTCCACATTTCGGCTTCCAGCCAGTGTTTACCAGTACTTGTTAGGGGCCGGGCACTTCTGGGGACAGTCACCAACACAGAGGCCCCTGCCTTCATGGAGCTTACGTTCCACAGGAGGAGAGAGCACCATAAACACAAAAAGGGTCACAGAATCTTTTTTTTTTTCAAGACAGTTTCGCTCTTGTCCCCCCAGGTGGAGTGCAATGGCGCGATATCGACTTACTGCAACCTCCACCTCCCGGGTTCAAGTGATTCTCCTGCCTCAGCTTCCTGGATTCTCCTGCCTCAGCTTCCTGAGTAGCTGGGATTACAGGCACGTGCCACCACGCCTGGCTAATTTTTGTATATTTAGTAGAGACAGGGTTTCACCATGTTCACCAAGCTGGTCTCGAATTCCTGACTTCAGGTGATCCACCCGCCTTGGCCTCCCAAAGTGCTAGGATTATAGGCGTATGCCACCACACCCGGCCTCAGCAGAATCTTTTAAAGGACACCGAGTGTTACGGAAAAGGAAAACATAGAGCAGGATTTGGGGAGTGTCGGGGAGTGGGGAGCAGCAGGCTGGTGTAGCCACGCTCCCTGAGAGGCCAGATTGGAGCAAGGTCTGACAAGAGGGACTGCCAGGTGACTCCGAGGACCCACCACAGTCTGGTCCACAGCTGTTCTATGTTGGAATCACTGCGGGTGCCTGGGTTCCACCCGAGGCCTAGGTTGAGGACCTCTGGCCTAGAGCAAGGTTTCTGGGCAGCCCTGTCTCTCACCCCTTATGCCTTCCTCTCCATTTTACAAATGAGAATAGTGACGCTCAAACACGCTCACGCCTCCCTAAGTAAAGGACGGTCAGGATTTGAACCCAGAAGTATTTGAACCCAAAACTCCCATGTTTCCTCAGCATCACACCGTCTCCCAGACCACGTGACTCGTCTCTCTTTTGGAAAATATCTAGGAGCAAATGGCTCTTCCCGCCACTACACCCAACAAACATCTGGATTGTTCTGTGTCATTGGTTAACTTGCAGGGACACAGTCAAGGTGGTAAGGAGGTTGTGCCTCCTGACCCGGGACAGCTTAGCCTTCCCCTGACCCATAGGACGCTGTGGGTCACCAACAGGCAGCAGGGACACAGTGGAGCCACCCAAGCTTCTGAGGTCTTCCCTGCCTTGGACCTTTATTGCCTCCAATGCACAAGATGCCAGGGAGCTAAGGATGCGCTCTCAGAAGGAGGCGTGAGCTCCAAGATGGGGCGTCCAAGCCCACCTCCGGCCCAGTTGATGCTGGCAAAAAGACTTTAATTAATTTCTTTATTTTGGGGCACAATTCCAGCAAGCTTAATTGGGGAATTCATGTCTCACTTGCGAGCCTTTCCTTGGCCAATGTGGTGGCATGTGCGGGAGACTGGCGGCACCCACAGACTGCTGTGAGATGGCGAGAAGCAAAGCCGGGCTGGGGGCTGCAGGGCTCTCCGAGGACCCGCACCGCTTCTGGTGACTCTGGCCATGCCCAAGAAACCATGGGGCACGGAGCACAGGCGGCCTGGGGCCTTGTCAAGCCACAGTGCTGACTCCCAGTGTTTCGTGGTGCCCCGAGGGTTTCGCACTTGCCTTTTGATACCTGGACGACCTGGGCGTGCAGGTGGCACGCTCAAGACTGCATCTGTAGCCCTGAGTTCAGGTTCAGCCTCACCGCACATGCTCTGCACCCTAAAGGAGTCAACAGCCTTTCTGGGCCTCATTTCCCCTGCTATACAGTGGGCCTAAGAATACCTGCCTAGCTTTCTTCCCAGGGTCCTTGTGAGACATCAGGAACTGGAGTACCCAGGTACTAGAGTCCTCACTGAAAGCACCTCCTCTAGGGCCTGGGATTGCTGGGAGGTGCAGAGTAGATTTCGGGAGCCAGTCCTGGATCCCTCCTTCCTCCCGCCTCCCCACCCCTAGCCCTGCAGGGTTCAAGATCACTTAAACCTTAAGAAATCCCTCTCCTCTTAAATCTGTGTGTGCCACCAGCTGCCCCTCTTTGTGGAGGGTCCATCCTTCCTTTTGGTAATAAGGAACACTTGCTACTTAGTGATTCACTAATGCCTGCAAATCTCCTGGTTCAAGAGTAGGAGCTGAGAATTCGCTAGATATTCGGGAGAGGGGTACAGCACACCCAGCGGGCCCAAAGCTGACTGTCTGCGTCCGAGTGATTATCCAGGAGGCACTGCCTCCAAGTCAGACCAGAAGGCTTTGACTAGGTGTGATGACTAAGACTGTACCACAATAGGGAGTGGACATCAGGAAACACGACCTGGCTGCTGGCCACCTGGCAGCTGGCCACTGAGCAGGATGTTAGACTCCTCCAGTCACTGCTTGGCTCTTGCAAGTAAATCACAAGGTTCTTCTGCCTTTGCACAGGTCTAAACGCCAGGCAGACAGAGCGAGGAACAGGCCCCAGGGTGGTTAGCCCAAGAGGACTTTGCAGGGAGGATGGTGCATCTTTCTTTCTGAATGTTTTTTTGGTACGAGGGCAAACAGCATTCTTTCCAGAATGGTCCAGGTGAATCTTGCCAAGAAATAGCAGCCCAGATAGAGGGACCCCTCAGGGCTTCTGCATTATCTGAGGATTGGCTCCCACAGGAGGGGTGAGTTACAAATAATGGATTCTTCCTTTGCTCCTGCAGACAGTAGACTTGATTGACATTGTGATCAAGTGCCTGCTGGAAGGAACCCCAGGCAGCAGGCACTGCTTCCCCTGATGGGATCTGAAGGACCCTGAGCATCCTCTCTACCCAAAAGAGACACTTACCACCACTGCCCCAACCTTAGATCCTCTCTGCTTTCACTCTCTAAGCCTCTCTTATTTAAAACTATCCCCAAAGGTAACATAGATGAACTTTCTTCTATTAACTGTTTAATGACAATTAGTTGCTTGCTGTCATTCATTTTCATTCACCTGGTTAGTCATTCAAGGAAGAAGCAGCTTTAACTATTTCCTGAATGCCAGCATGCCGTGACCAGTAAGACCCAGGCAGAGGCAGAAATGATTGGCTAGAGTGTGCTGCGGTGAGTTCCAGGGGGGTGACCAGAAGACAACTAGGACTTGAGGGAAGCTGAGCCAGCCAGGAAAGTGGAGGGAGGGAAGGCCTTCGACATAGACAGGGAGTGAGCTAAGGTGTTGGGAGGGAGCCAATGAATGAATGGGGTTGGGTGGTGGGGGGAGTAGTTGGATACGAGTCAAAAAAGTGGATTAAGCCCCAGTGCTGAAGGGCCTCATGGGCAGGAAAATCATTATTTCTTCTGTAGGGCAGGAATTCAGGGCTCCACTTGTAAGGAAAATATTGTTTTGTGTATGTATATGTGACTTTCTTTTTCTTTCTGGCAAGAAGTCCATAGATTTCATCAGTTACAAAGGTTCCATCAACCTGCAACTGTTTAAGCTTAAGTGTCCTTGCCCCAGACTTTAAATTTTTCTTTCTCAGTAAACTAAGGGATGTTTACTGTAAAAGCATTGACTTGTTTGTGATGCTTCACGTTGGGCTAGAGGTGAGGTTTGGGGATACACCCTTGGAAGGCTGTATCAACTCTACTTACAGATGCTTTTGATGTCGTCCCCGTGATACCAACGAGTGAAACTCCCGTCATTGTAGATGACTGTCAATAAACATCCTTGCCTTTCCCATTTTGCTGTTGGCACAACCTGTTTTTTTGTTTTGTTTTGTTTTTTGTTTTTTTTTAAATTACCAAGGCCAGGCACAGTGGCTCACGTCTGTAATCCCAGCACTTTGGGGGCCGAGGCGGGCGGATCACGAGGTCAGGAGATTGAGACCATCCTGGCTAACATGGCGAAACCCCATCTCTACTAAAAATACAAAAAATTAGCCGGGCATGGTGGCAGGCGCCTGTAGTCCCAGCTACTGGGGAGGCTGAGGCAGGAGAATGGTGTAAACCTGGGAGGCAGAGCTTGCAGTGAGCGAGATCATGCCACTGCACTCCAGCCTGGGTGACAGAGCAAGACTCCATCTCAAAAAAAAAAAAAAAAAAATAGCAAAAGATACTTGGACATGTCATCATAAGAAATTCTCGTTAGTATTCATGCTTTTCATAAAATGATGAAATTGACCTTCACATGTCTTCCTTCCCTCCTCCACCCCCACCACGAGAGGGCATTGACTTCCGCCCTCTGAGTCTAGGAGAGGTAAGCACTGTGCATCAATTTAGTTTTACTTTCAGAGCTTGGTACAGTTTGGATATTTGTCACCTCCAAATCTCATGTTGAAATGTGATCCCCAGTGTTGGAGGTGGGGTCTAATGAGAGGTGCTTGGATCATGGGGTGGATCCCTTATGAATGGCTTGGTGCCATCCCCATCGCAATAAATGAGCTCTCATTCTGTTAGTTACCTTTAGGTTTGGTTGTTTAAAAAGAGCCTGAAGCCAGGTACGGTGGCTCATGCCTGTAATCCCAGCACTTTGGGAGACTGAGGCAGGAGGATCACTTGAGGTCAGGAGTTCAAGACCAGCCTGGTCAACATCATGAAACCCCATCTCTACTAAAAATACAAAAATTAGCTGGGCTTGGTGGCAGGTGCCTGTGATCCCAGCTACTCAAGAGACTGAGGCACAAGAATCGCTTGAACCCAGGAGGCAGAGGTTGCAGTGAGCCAAGATTGCACCACTGCACTCCAGCCTGGGTGACTGAGCGAGACTCTGTCTCAAAAAACAAGAGCTTGGGGCCAGGCTTGGCAGCTCATGCCTGCAATCCCAGCACTTTGGGAGACCCAGCCAGGTGGATCACTTGAGGTCAAGAGTTCAAGACCAGCCTGGCCAACATGGTGAAACCCTATCTCTACTAAAAATACAAAAATAAGCTGGGCTTCTTGGTGGGTGCCTGTGATCCCAGCTACTTGGGATGCCAAGACCTGAGAATCTCTTAAACCTGGGAGGCGGACAGGGGTTGCACTGGACCAAGTTCACGCCACTGCACCCCAGCCTGGGTGAAAGAGTGAGACTCCATTTCAAAAACAAGTAAATAAAATAAAGAGAGACTGGCATGTCCTCCCCTTTCTCTCTTGCTCCCTTTCTCTTGCCATATGACATGACAGCTCCCCTTCCCCTCCCACCATGATTGGAAGCTCCCTGAGACCCTCAGCAGAAGCAGATGCTGGTGCCATGCTTCTCTGCAGCCTGCAGAACTGTGAGCCAAATAAACCTCTTTTACTGATAAATTACCCAGTGTCCGATATTCCTTTATAGCAATACAAAATAAATTTATTCAGAGCTCTTTCTAGGCCTTTTTACATACATGCAGCCTTTTTCTTTTTTAAAAACATTAATTGGATCAGATTATACATATTTGTCACTTTTTCTCTTATCATTGATCTTTATTTACATGTGTCTACGCTATTTTTAAATGATGTAATATATGCCATAGTATATATGTACAAAGATAACAAAATTATTCCCCCATTGATAAGCTTTTAGAATGTCTGGCTTTTTTTTTTTTTTTTTTTTTTTAGATGGAGTCTCTCTCTGTCTCCAGGCTGGAGTGCAGTGGCACAATCTCAGCTCACTGCAACCTCCGCCTCCCGGGTTCAAGTGACTCCGTCCCTTCCTCTTGGTGTATAGATATATGACATTTAATCACACTTGTAGACTCCAGTAATCACCACCTCAGTCAGGACGTGAAACTGTCCTATCTCCCCAAAGAAACTCCCTTATGCTACTCCTTAATAGCCTGGCCCAATATGTTCTTCTTTCTTTTTTTTATTAAGATATAAACATGCATGATAAATTATGTAAATTGTACTATCAAACATATAAACTGTAAAATAAAAAATAGCTTAAAAATTCACTTTTACATAATAGCTTTATTGAGATATGATTTAGGAACCAAAAAGCCTACCCATTTGAAGCGTAAGGTTCAGTGGTTTTTAGTATATTTATGAGGTTGTGTAATCATCACCATAATCTAATCTTAGAACATCTTTTTTATTCCCCAAATAATCCCCGTCAACAGCCACTCCTCACCCCTCATTCCCTCGCCCTCTAACCCTTGGGAACAGCTCATCCACTTTCTGTCCCTGCGGATTTGCTTATCCTGGACATTTCATATACGTGATATTGTATAACATGTGGCCTTTCGTGGCTGGCTACTTTTGCTTAGATTCTTCCATGCTGTGGCGTGCATCAGTACTTCAATCTTGTGGCTGAATAATATTCCCAGGTAGGCATACATCACATTTTATTTATCCACCCATCATCAGTTGATAAACATTTGGTTGATTTTCACATTTTGGCTATCACAAATAGTGCTGCTATGGGATTTGTGTACAAGTTTTTGTGTGGATTTAATATATTTTCATTTCTCTTGGGAGACGGCCAGGGAGTGGAATCTCTGGGTCATGTGGTGACTCCACAGCTAATCTTTTGAGGAACTGCCAGATTGTTTTCCAAAGCGGATGCACCGTTTCACAATCTCACCAGCAATGAATGAGGGTTCCAATTGCTCCTCATCTTCGCCAACAGTTGTTATTGTCCCTTTGATTCTGAGTGGGTATGAAGTGGTGTCTCACTGTGGTTTCAATTTGCGCCTCTCTGATGACTAATGATGTCAAGCATCTTTTCATGTGAGATCTCTTTTCAAAAACTCACTTTAAGCCTGGTGCAGGGTGCATCCCTGTAGTCTGAGCTACTCGGGAAGATCACTTGAGCCCAGGAGTTCAAGGCCAGCCCGGGCTACATAGCAAGACCCCACCTGAAACAAACAAACCTTACTTTAACTCTTAGGTGGAGAAAGTATGGAACAGAGGCAAGTGTGGCTGCAGAAAAGCCAACCTGCCCCCACCAGGCATGAGAAGGCCAGTGCCGGGTCTGGACTCACTGAGGAAGAGAGGGGGAAACTCATAAATTAGGATCTATTTTGTAGGAAAGAGTTAAGAAAGGGCAATTCCCAGGCCTTGGGGAGTCTGTGCAGGCTGGGGTCAGAAGCTGAGTCCCTCACTTCCAGAGTGGCACAGTGTCCTTTACTCTTATTTAAGTCACTTCGTCTTGCCTTGTCACTTAGAGCACCACCGAGGGCTTTTAGAAGAGTTCCTTAGTGTCAAAGATTCGAACCTGCCATGAGGAGAGGACTTGGACTAATTCGATGTACAGTTTAGTGGTCAGAATTAGAGGCAGATTTGGGCTCCATACAAGGAAATTTTGTCTAATGGTCTGAACAATCTGCAATGAGCTTTACCACTCCAGCAGCTGTGAATCTGTCCACCAGATGGTGAGCTGTCCGTGTGTTTTCGAGGGGCTGCCCTCAAAGGAAGTGATGGCCAACTTGATGGATGGTGAGGTCTACTGTGACCCCAGACTCACCATCCTTAGGATGAAAGTTGAGACTAGATACTGTATTAAGACACCCGGGTGCTTTCATATGGTGCTACAGTATCTGGACCCGTTAATGATTACTGATTGGGAGACAGTGGGTCCTCAACACAGTTCTGGGTACTCTGGGGTTGCAGAGAAGCTTAAGGATAACAACAGCTGACATCGTTTTAATGCCACTTTTTAAGAACCACACATTCTACTAAAGGCTTTAACACACATTAATTTAGGATTAAAAATATTTAATCCTAACAACAACGCTTTGAGGTAGGCACTCTTATTATCACTAATTGGCAGATGGAAAACTGAAGCACAGAGAGGTTAAGTAACTTGCTCAAAAACACATAGCTCGTAAGTGATCAAGCCAGGATGTGAATTCAAGCAGCCTGATTCCATGGCCCATACTTTTAGTTATTATACCACATGGCTAAGATGTGGCTGCAGGTAGATTTTAGCCAACCTGGAAAAACCTGCTTTCATTCTATGGAACCACTTAGAAAATACACAAGGCAACGTGAAATTCAGAGGTCATTGTTGTCACTTCTTAAAAGTGCAATTTGAATTGAGAGAGCACAGAGCTCAAAGTATGGCCCCCCCTGAGTTGATTTGTAGGAGGAGTGAGTAAAGAAGGCCGGATCTAGAGGAGGGGCTGTCTCAGGTGCATCCCAACTGGGAAGAAGCTTCCATAAAGAAGTGGGGAAACTGGAAGGGCCTTGCTGAGGTCTCCAATCAGCTTTAAAGATTTGAACCTGCCATGAGAAGAAGACTGAACTAATTCAATATAGCTCAGGGGTCAGAATTAGAGGCAAATTTGGGCTCCATACAAGAGAATTTTTTCTAATCGTCTGAACAATCTGCAATGGGTTTTACCACTCTAGCAGCTGTGAATCCATTCTGTGAATCGCAGAGCTCTAGAGAAGGTTCTAAAAGGAAACTCGAGAGACAGCCGGCAATTCCAGCATGCTGCGGTGCTGGAGGTGGACACTTCAGGCACTTTTTACTCAGAGACCTTGTAGAGAGAGAGGGCTCTGTGACCTTCCCGCCACTCTACTGTACAGAGCTCCTGTCTAACAAGGAGCCAGAGATCCATGTGCTGACATCGCGGATGGGCTGCCCTGCCCACTGGAGCCCAGCCCTCAGTGCTCTCAAAGACACAGGGACACCTGGCTCATTTAGAGGCTTCCAGGCTGGGCGTGGTGACTCATGCCTGTAATCCCAGCACTTTGGGAGGCTGAGGCAGGCAGATCACTTGAGGTCAGGAGTTCAAGACCAGCCTGCCAACATGGTGAAACCCTGGCCTCTACCAAAAATACAAAAGGGTGTGGTGGCGGGTGCCTGTAATCTCAGCTACTCAGGAGACAGAGGCAGGAGAATCGCTTGAACCCAGGAGGCAGAGGTTGCATTGAGCAGAGATCGCACCATTGCACTCCAGCCTGGGTGACAGAGCGAGACTCTATCTCAAAAAAAAAAAAAAAAAAAGGCTTTGAGTTAGACTCCAGAGGGAAAGCAGCCCCAAAGCCCACAGGGTGGCATGCCTGGCTGAGGACCAACTGACCTGTGGAGACGCCAAGGCCAGCCTTGCCGACCCTGTCTCACCTTGCTTGAACTGTGGTTCTCAAGCCCTGCAGGTGGTCAGGCCCTTGGAGTCCACAGCACTTGTTAGAGAACACCAGGCACTGTTGACAGGCCACTGGAAATACCATAAATGTCTATGCGACTGCAGACACAGCCACACCGAGTCCAGCATGGCCAGGTGGCTGCCGATGCTAAACACGGACATGCTCGTGGGAGCGGAAACTCCATGCAGAGGAAGGCCCAGCTGTTATTTCTTCTATATTATTTTTTTCAGACTGGGAAAATAAAGCCATTATTCTATCACCCCCCTCACCCGTGGAAGTTCAGAGTTCAAGGGAGGGGACTAGAGAGCAAAGGCCTCCAGAGAGCAGGCGAGGGGCTGCCAGGGCCACTGAGCCTCTGCAGGGTGCTCAGCCACCACGTCCGGACAGAGCTTGGCCCCTCTCGTCAGGCTTCCTGGGTGTGCCTCAGTGATTCCTCCCTGCCCTGCCCCACTCACACCTGTCAGCAGCCTGGTGGTGAAGGGGAAGCTTTCTCTGCTTAGCGGGCCGGGCTGTCTTTATGCCCAGCCGGACGCATCCTTGCTAGGCATTGAGTTGACAGTGCAGCCGCCCCGGAAAAGCTGGGGTCTCGTGCGCTGCGGTACGGGCATCTTCCAGCAAGAAGGGTGAGGAGGTCCCCAAGGTCTTTCCAGCACCCCTGGGAGAGACGGGAGTCTGTGAATAAAGCCTTGGGCGCAGCTGAACGAAGGACTTTTTCTCTCAGCACAACTAATGTGAGAACACTGTCACCTGCTTCCATCTCTGGGGAATGCATTTTCTGAACAGGTGCTGGCCCCGGCCCTCCCCTCCACACCACCTCTGCTTCAAATGGGAAATCTAAACCTCTCAAGGCCCAGAGGCTGTTTGTTTCTCTCTTATTTCTAAGGCATCCACCCATGAGTGCTAGAGAAACCTACCTTTCCTGCTGTTGGAGCCTTCTAGGACCTCCCTGTCTCAAAAACTATGACCAGCACCGTGCTCATGATCAGCGGGCTGGTGCGCAGTGGTGGGGATGGCCTTAAACCCCGACTGCCCAGGTAACACCCTCATTTCAGTAATGGCCCATCATGATGGCAAGCCTTAATGGGAGGTGTGGTGGGCAGAACGAGGAGCCCCGACCCCGAAACAAAGAGGCTCACCTCCTAATCCCCAGGACCTAAGCCTATGTTACTTTTCACAGCAAACAGGAATTCAGGTAGCAGAGGAGTTCAGGTTGCAATCAGCTGTCTGTGAGGCAGGGAGAGGACCCTGGAATATCCTGTGGGTGCAGTGTCATCACAAGGGTCCTTGTGAGTGAGAACCTTTCCCAGCTGTGTTTACAGCGGAGACACGGCTGTGAAGAACGCAGGAGGTGCAACGTTGCTGGCTTTGATGATGGATGGGGGGATGTAAGCCAAGGGGCATGGACACCTCTAAAAGCTGGGCACAGTGTGAAGTGGAATCCTCCCTCAGAGCCTCCAGAAAGGACTGCAGCCCTACAGACACCTTTACTTTCGCCCAGGGAGGCCGTGTCAGACTTCTGACCTCCAGAGCTGTAAGGTACTACATTTGTGTTGTTGCAGCCACCAAGTTGGAGGTCATTTGTTACAGCAGCAACAAGAAATCAATATGGAGGTGATTTCAGGCCCCGGAGGGATTCTGAGGGCAGTGGGCACATTCAGGAGTTTCAAGTCAATACAGTGGTGACAGGTGCCCAGCACCTTACTTCCTCGGGGCGAATTTGCCGAAGAGCGGAGAGAGCAGGTTTCAATGCAAAGAGGAAGAACCAGGAAACAGTCACATCAGAGCATCTGCTTTTGTCCTTGCCAAATGCACAGGCACAGATCAGCTTGGAGAACTCCCTTTTGTGTTTCTGGTTCAAGGAACGGAGCCCTCATTTCTCCCTGTGCTCGTGAGGAACAGGAAGTCAAATGAAAGTTTAAAAGGATGACGCGGCTGGAAAAATCATTGTAATCGTGAGTACTGTCTCAGGGGCAGCCTTTAGACTTTGCCCAGTTTATCTGTCACCAAACAAAGGATCATAACAGGGACAGGTCCATTGTGATCTGTCTGCTGGGAAGAGCCTCACAGCCAGGGTGGAGACACAGAAAGAAAGGACAGTTGGGATGCACATGGAAGGCAGACCCTCCCTCTGGGTGAACGGCCTGGCACAGGGCCACTGTAGGAAGATCTGGCACCTCTGGGCCCTTTTTCTGCCTCTTCCCTCCCTCAGGCTGACCCTGCATTTAAAGGAGTGGAGGCAGGGCCTGGTTGTCAAACTGACAGGCCACATACCCAGAGGGAGGAAGTCGCTCTCCAGTGGAGAGACGATCTCTGGCCGTGGAGTCAGTACTTGTGAATTTCCACCAAGCTCTGTTATTGACGATGATCTTGAGCAATCGTGGGTTCCCCTTGAGCCCTGGGTTCTTTATCTTTTTTTTTTTAATTATTATTATACTTTAAGTTTTAGGGTACATGTGCACAATGTGCAGGTTAGTTACATATGTATACATGTGCCATGCTGGGGTGCTGCACCCATTAACTCGTCATTTAGCATTAGGTATATCTCCTAATGCTATCCCTCCCCGCTCCCCCCACCCCACAACAGTCCCCAGAGTGTGATGTTCCCCTTCCTGTGTCCATGTGTTCTCACTGTTCAATTCCCACCTATGAGTGAGAACATGTGGTGTTTGGTTTTTTGTCCTTGAGATAGTTTACTGAGAATGTTGATTTCCAATTTCATCCATGTCCCTACAAAGGACGTGAACTCATCGTTTTTTATGGCTGCATAGTATTCCATGGTGTATATGTGCAACATTTTCTTAATCCAGTCTATCATTGTTGGACATTTGGGTTGGTTCCAAGTCTTTGCTATTGTGAGTAGTGCCGCAATAAACATACGTGTGCATGTGTCTTTATAGCAGCATGATTTATAGTCCTTTGGATATATACCCAGTAATGGGATGGCTGGGTCAAATGGTATTTCTAGTTCTAGATCCCTGAGGAATCGCCACACTGACTTCCACAATGGTTGAACTCGTTTACAGTCCCACCAACAGTGTAAAAGTGTTCCTATTTCTCCACATCCTCTCCAGCACCTGTTGTTTCCTGACTTTTTAATGATTGCTATTCTAACTGGTGTGAGATGGTATCTCATTGTGGTTTTGATTTGCATTTCTCTGATGGCCAGTGATGATGAGCATTTTTTCATGTGTCTTTTGGCTTCATAAATGTCTTCTTTTGAGAAGTGTCTGTTCATATCCTTCACCCACTTTTTGATGGGGTTGTTTGTTTTTTCTTGTAAATTTGTTTGAGTTCATTGTAGATTCTGGATATTAGCCCTTTGTCAGATGAGTAGGTTGCGAAAATTTTTCCCATTTTGTAGGTTGCCTGTTCACTCTGATGGTAGTTTCTTTTGCTGTGCAGAAGCTCTTTAGTTTAATTAGATCCCATTTGTCAATTTTGGCTTTTGTTGCCATTGCTTTTGGTGTTTTAGACATGAAGTCCTTGCCCATGCCTATGTCCTGAATGGTAATGCCTAGGTTTTCTTCTAGGGTTTTTATGGTTTTAGGTCTAACGTTTAAGTCTTTAATCCATCTTGAATTAATTTTTGTGTAAGGTGTAAGGAAGGGATCCAGTTTCAGCTTTCTACATATGGCTAGCCAGTTTTCCCAGCACCATTTATTAAATAGGGAATCCTTTCCCCATTGCTTGTTTTTCTCAGGGTTGTCAAAGATCAGATAGTTGTAGATATGCGGCATTATTTCTGAGGGCTCTGTTCTGCTCCATTGATCTATATCTCTGTTTTGGTACCAGTACCATGCTGTTTTTGTTACTGTAGCCTTGTAGTATAGTTTGAAGTCAGGTAGTGTGATGTCTCCAGCTTTGTTCTTTTGGCTTAGGGTTGACTTGGCGATGCGGCCAACTTTTTTGGTTCCATATGAACTTTAAAGTAGTTTTTTTCCAATTCTGTGAAGAAAGTCATTGGCAGCTTGATGGGGATGGCATTGAATCTATAAATTACCTTGGGCAGTATGGCTATTTTCACGATATTGATTCTTCCTACCCATGAGCATGGAATGTTCTTCCATTTGTTTGTATCCTCTTTTATTTCATTGAGCAGTGGTTTGTAGTTCTCCTTCTGAAACTATTCCAATCAATAGAAAAAGAGGGAATCCTCCCTAACTCATTTTATGAGGCCAGCATAATCCTGATACCAAAGCCGGGCAGAGACACAACCAAAAAAAGAGAATTTTAGACCAATATCCTTGATGAACATTGATGCAAAAATCCTCAATAAAATACTGGCAAACAGAATCCAGCAGCACATCAAAAAGCTTACCCACCATGATCAAGTGGGCTTCATCCCTGGGATGCAAGGCTGGTTCAATATACGCAAATCAATAAATGTAATCCAGCATATAAACAGAACCAAAGACAAAAACCACACGATTATCTCAACAGATGCAGAAAAGGCCTTTGACAAAATTCAACAACCCTTCATGCTAAAAACTCTCAATAAATTAGGTATTGATGGGACGTATCTCAAAATAATAAGAGCTATTTATGACAAACCCACACCCAATATCATACTGAATGGGCAAAAACTGGAAGCATTCCCTTTGAAAACTGGCACAAGACAGGGATGCCCTCTCTCACCACTCCTATTCAACATAGTGTTGGAAGTTCTGGCCAGGGCAATTAGGCAGGAGAAGGAAATAAAGGGTATTCAATTAGGAAAAGAGGAAGTCAAATTGTCCCTGTTTGCAGACGACATGATTGTATATCTAGAAAACCCCATTGTCTCAGCCCAAAATCTCCTTAAGCTGATAAGCAACTTCAGCAAAGTCTCAGGATACAAAATCAATGTACACAAATCACAAGCATTCTTATACACCAATAACAGACAAACAGAGAGCCAAATCATGAGTGAACTCCCATTCACAATTGCTTCAAAGAGAATAAAATACCTAGGAATCCAACTTACAAGGGATGTGAAGCGTTCTTTATCTTTTATGGAAAGAAATGACCGACTGCCAAGAGTGGCTGGAAGGGCCTGGGTGCTTGCTGGGTGCCAACAACCCATATAAGACAACAATAACCCATAAGAGACAATAACCAACAATAACCCATAAGAGACAACCAATACAGAAATGTTCACAATTTTGGAGGCCAGGCTTCTGAGGCTGCACTCCCTACAGAGACTCAGGGAGAATCTGTTCTTCACCTTTTCTCACTCCCAGGGGCTGCCGGCGTTTCCTGGTGTTCCTTAGCTTGCAGACGTATCTCTCCAATCTATGCCGCCATCTTCACATTCCCTTCTCTTCTCTGTGTGTAAAATCTCCCTCTGTCTTTCTCTTTTTGAGGCAGGGTCTTGCTCTGTTGCCCAGGCTGGAGGGCAATGGTTCAAACGTGGCTCATTGCAGCCTCAACCTCCTGGTCTCAAGTGATCCTCCTGCCTCAGCCTCCTGAGTAGTAGGTACTACAGGAATGTGCCACCACACCTGGCTCATTTTTTAATTTTTAATTTTTTTGTAGAGAAGGAACCTCACTGTGTTGGATAGGCTGGTCTCGAACTCCTGGGCTCAAGTGATCTTCCTTCCTCAGCCTTCCAGAGTGCTGGGAGTGACAGGTGGGAGCCACAGTGCCCAGCCTGTCTCTCTTTTATAGGGACACTTATGGTTGGATTGAGAGCCCATTTGAATAATCCAGGATCATCTCTCCATGTCAAGATACTTAATAATAATTGCAAAGAATATTTTTCCTTATAAGATAACATTTAAGGCTCTAGAAATTAGGACCTGTGATCTGAGAAACCAAAATAGACACCCCTTTATCAACTAAGACAGACCCTGAGGTTAAAGAAACAAAAGGTACCTAGGAGTTGAGGGTTCGGGGCCCAGCTGGCATGGAAAATTTCTAAATTCTTATGGCTGCAAGGAAAACCACTGTCTTGCAAAACTCCCTAACAATAGAAGCTATCAGGCAAATGATCAGATCCTGCCTCACTCGGCTTTATACCCCAGACCACAACAACTCTGTTGGACAGAGGACCAGCCTTACAAATGTTCTTTTCTGATAAACACCTGCAGACTTGAAGCCAGTTTCAGCAGCTTATAGAGGCTGCGCACAAACTTTGTGTCATATAGTTCACCTTCTGACTTGAGCCAAATGCCACCTCATTTTAATGCTAAAACCTTGCCCCAAAATGAGCATGGGATGTATGTTATATATATGGTTACCCATTGCACATGTGCTCAACTCCCCTCATAAACATGCATAGCGTCTCCCCCAAACCTGCTGAATATGTATTGTTTTTTGGGGTAATGCAGACCTCGTTAGGCATAAAACCCAGCCTCTCCGTTCCCCTCTGAAGAGCGCACCTTCAGTCCACACTGGAGATGATCTCTTCCCAGTTTGCAAGCTGATGCTACCAATATAGCTCTCCTTCCTACTAGTGAGCCATTCTGATGGCCTTTTGGATAACAGACCTTAATATCTTTGGTCAGGCCATTATTCAGCCTACCAGAGTCCTCCCTTGGGTCTCCAAAGATTCATGTCTGTTCCACATGCAAAATATATTTACCCCATTTCAATGTTCCCAAAAGTCTCAATCCACTACAATCAACTCATGTCCAAAATCTCATCTAAATCTCATTAACTCAGAAATTCCAAATCACAGCATCTGATTAAGATATGGGTTAGACTCTGGATCTGATTCATCCTGGAAAAAAATTCCTTCCTATCTCTGGACCTGTGAAACTAGAAAATCAATTTATTCCAAAAGCAATGTGGTATAACAGGTGTGGTATAACAGCGAAACAATGATAGACTCTCCCATTCCAAAAGGGAACAGTGAAAGGAAGAAAGGAGTCATGAGTCTCACGCAATGAAGGACTCCAGCAGGGCAGGAGTTCCATTAGGGCACGTTCCATTAGGGCTCGGGGCTGGTGATAACCGTCTATGGCTTGGGCTCCACCCAATGGGCTCATGGCTCTATATGAGAGATTGGGACCTAACATCTTTGCGTGGCAATTATTCAGTCTACTATAAATATAGGTTGGTGCAAAAGTTATTAAACATAATGGCAAAAACCCCAATAACTTTTGCACCAACCTAATACTATCCAAGTGTCAGTTGATATTATTGTATCAACTGTATCAAAGTGTATCTATTTGTTTGCTTATTTTTGTAGAGATGAGGTCTTGTGTTGCCCAAGCTGGTCTTGAACTCCTGGCCTCAAGTGATCCTCTTGCCTTGGCCTCCTGAGTCGCTGGGAGGACAGGCATGAGCCACCGCGCCCAGCCTCAGAATGTATTTTTTTTACTAAAAGTATAACACTTTCAGCACAGTTGTATCTTAGCAATCCCCAAGACAAGTCTGACTGATGGGCATTGCTCAGGCCATCTGGCCCTTATGGAACTAAACTTTCTGGCCCCTTCTTTCTTTCTGGCCTGCAGGTCAGCTCCGGCTGATGCCTGGTGTGGGTGGGATTATGAACAGAGGCAGAACTGATTTGAACTGGACCCACCATCTCTGGGCAGCCCTCCACAAGCCATTTCATTCCTTGAGCACATTGTACCCTTTCCAGTCTCTCTCTAGGGCCCCTCTCCCCGAATGCTTGGGAGCAGGATAAGGGATTGAAGGCTCCTGTCCTGAAGCTGTTTACCTGTTTGCTCACAGCACCTGCCAGGCCACCGAGTCTGAGCAATTCTATGGTCATCCTGCCCTCTCCAAAGAGCAGGCTTTCCCATGGGGAGACACTACAGATTCTCACATGAATGACGTCCCTGTCTGCTGCCTCTTGCGTGCTCCTTGCCATAAAGTCTTTCCACAAACGATGGTTGGAAAGACCTAGACTTTGAAGAGGCCAGCATAGTCCCTGCAGAAGGAGGAGAGAGGCAGGTTGACACAGGCCTCCTGGTATGAAAGTTCCTGGGATCTGTCTCCTTCCACAATGACAGCACCACAGCAAATCCAGCATCCTCAGGCCGAGAGGGTGATGGGGCTGGCGTCCATTCTCGGGCTTAGCTTCTCCTTTCTCTCCAGCTGCGTTCAGCTGCTCACTGATGCCCATCTGCTGGTTCCCCCTGTTCACTGACTCCTCTGCCTCAAATCCCACGTCCTGGGTGCTCAGAGCCTCCCAGGCTGAATGCCAGTGTGTCCCAGCCTGGATGCCAGCGTGCACGTGGTTTAATCCTGAGGGCAGTGAACATCTGTGTGTTTTCCTAACAGGAGGATGCCTTCATACAAAGCTCTCAGGGAAAAGCATTGACAAGCTTATTGGAGGGGGCTCTTCATCTCCAGGATGGCAGTGTGACCCACCCGAAGAGTCCAGCCAGGCATCGGGAGCACAGGTGCCTTCCACTAGAGCATGCTGCCTGATCCACACACGGACACGGGTGCATCTGGCTCTCTGGGTCTCTGCCTTCTCTTGCTGCCTGTGAGGCCATCATCTGATTCTCAGGGCAGTGCAGGGTTAGTTAGTAGTGGATGAGTCAAGTTAATGAAGCTTAATAATCAGGTTAATGAACTGTGGCTCTCCCCTCTGGGAGACACATATTGTAGCAGCAGCCGCCACAGGACAAGTGATTTTAATAACACCACAGGTGGCGTGCTAGCAGGACAGGTGTGGACACGCTGAGAGAGGCTTTTCAAAATCTCTCCATTTCATTGCCCAGGCAACAGCTCTTGGAAAGGCCGCTGACATGCAGGCTGTGTCCATGAGCTTTCCCATCCGCTCCTTGCTCTAAGGGTGTCTCCCATGGACACGTCAGAGAGGCCCTCCCTAGAATAATGCACCCCTGAGACGGCCTCACGATTTGGATTTGCTGCCTCTGGGACTAACTTGGCTAAAATTAAAACAAAAACAAAAACAAACAAAGAAAAAATGTGTTTGGGGAGAAAACATCTGAATTTTTAGAGCAAGAGAAGGAGAGAGAGGAAGGGAAAGAGAGAGGCAGGTTGAGAGAGAGAGGGAGGGAGGGAGAAAGAGAGAGAGGGAGAGGGAAAGAGAGAGGGAGCAGGAAAGAGAGGTTGAGAGAGAGAGAGGAGGGAAAGAGAGAGGCAGGTTGAGAGAGAGAGAGGAGGGAAAGAGAGAGGCAGGTTGAGAGAGAGAGGGAGGGAGAAGGAAAGAGAGAGAGGTGGAGAGGGCAAGAGCCTGCGAGAGGCAATTAATGACAGTCAGTCAGGTATGTGAGACCCAAGCTGCCAGCCTGAGCTTCTCTTCTCCCAGAACGGCCATTATGAAAAGGGGCTTTTGACAGACAAGAGCGCCCATCACTCTGGCAGCTGTGCCCCGGCCCCCTCTCCGACCTCGCCTCGCCGGGATGCGGTGTCCTTCTCAGGAGCCCTGCTATCCCTGGCAGCAGGAAGAGGACATGGTGGACATTTCCTGATTCTATTCACCTGACGTGGCTAGAGCCCCAAGAACCTATTTCCTCCCTTTCCTCACCTGCTTGGAGCATCCAAGGGCACAGGAATAGGGGACCTGAGGTCACGCTGTCATTCGAATCCAAGGGAGAGTGTGAGGAGCCGGGCGGCAGAGCAGCACCCCAGGGTGAGGGGCAGAGAACAGCCACCGTAGAGGAGGACCTGCCACTCCCCGCTTCACCACTTGCCCCCTCACCGGTCCCCCATTCACGGCTCCCCGCCTCACCGCTCCCCACCTCACCGCTCCCTCCTTCACCGCTCCCCACCTCACCGCTCCCCCCACACCGCTTCCCTCCCTCACCGCTCCCCCCTCCCCCTCACCGTCACTGCTCCCCACTTCACCACTCCCCACTTCACCGCTCCCCCCAGGGAGCTGGCCCTATACCCAGCCGCTTCCTTAAAGAGTTAGCACAAACAAAGCAATTAAGTGTCTGAAATTCTTCAAAAGGAAGAACTTGTACTAAGATGATTTCTTCCTTTTTTTACACACAGGGTCTCACTCTTTCACTTAGGCTGGAGTGCAGTGGCACAGTCACAGCTCACTGCAGCCTCCAACTCCTAGGCTCAAGCGATCCTCCCACCTCAGCCACCCAAGTAGCTGGGACCACAGGTGCACACCACCACACCTGGCTAATTTTTTAATTTTTTGTAGCAACAGGGTCTCACTATGTTGTCAAGGCTGGTCTCCAACTCCTGGGCTCAAGTCATCTTCCCGCCTCAGCCTCCCAAAGTGCTGGGATTATAGATGTGAGCTACTGCCCCAGGCCTAAAATGATTCCTTAAACACACTTCTTAGTTCTATTTCCTGGCCTTTCAGGTGAGGTGGAAAAGGGTGGCCCAGACTATCATTTTATTCATCACCCAAATCTTTCATCCAGGAGAAGAAGAACAGAGAGGTTAGAGGGCTGTGTTTAGGTGGGTTACATGCAGACCTGTTTCTAAAGTGCAGAGAGGGAGCTGGCAGCCTCAGCCCCAAGCTCAGCATCCATGAGGGATTCTACTTTCTGGGTAACTGTGCAGATCAAGGCCTGATTCTTCACCTCCATGAGCTCTCACTGTCTGCATTTGAATACTCTCTGCAACCCTTATTCATTTTGTTACCTACTTTGATTTTTAGAATGTCTGTCACTCAAAGTCCTCTGAACTAAAAAATTCCAAATTGAAACTACGAGGTGCAGATCCATGGTATTAAACCCCTTCAAGCAGCAGAAGGGGGAATGGTTTTCTGACGAAGCAGGTCATGGTAGAGGGGGAGTGAGAGAATCTCACCACCCCAAGGCTCTAACTTTGTGAATTTCTTTTCTTTTTTCTTTTCTTTTTTTTCTTTTTTTTTTTTTTTGAGACAGAGTCTTGCTCTGTTGCTCAGGCTAGAGTGCAGTGGCGCGATCTCGGCTCACTGCAAGCTCCGCCTCCCAGGTTCACGCCATTCTCCTGCCTCAGCCTCCTGAGTAGCTGGGACTACAGGCACCTGCTACCATGCCCGGCTAATTTTTTTGTATTTTTAATAGAGATGGGGTTTCACCGTGTTAGCCAGGATGGTCTCGATCTCCTGACTTCGTGATCCACCCGCCTCGGCCTCCCAAAGTGCTGGGATTACAGGCGTGAGCCACCGCGCCCGGCCAACTTTGTGAATTTCATTTCCCCATTTAACTGAGGAGGAAGCTGAGCACAGAGAACGGAGATGGTGAGACTGAGGTCATGTAACAGGGTCCACATCCGAGCCATGAAGCATCCAAGGGCACAGGAATAGCGGACCTGAGGCCATGAACCAAGCAGTCCGGCCCCAGAACCACAACCTGAGCCCTACCCACTACCGCTTCTCCAGGCCGCCATGCAACTCAGTAATAACCCTTTGGTATGAAGTGTGGGCAATCCCTATTGTCTAAACTAGCCACGGCCTGAACTAAGTGCCTTGTGCCTCCTCAAAGTGTGGTTCCCAGGCCAGCAGCATCAGCATCACCTAGGAGTCATTAGAACTATAAACTTCCACCAGGCACAGTGGCTCATGCCTGTAATCCCAACACTTTGGGAGGCCAAGGTGGGTGATTACTTGAGACTAGGAGTTTGAGACCACCCTGGGCAACATAGTGAAACCCAGTGTCTACAATAAATACAAAAAATTAGCCAGGCATGGTGTTGTGTGCCTGTAGTCCCAAGCTACCCGGGAGGCTGAGGTGGGTAGATTGCTCAAGCCTGGGAGTTCAAGGCTGGAGTGAGCTATGATTGACACCACTGCATTCCAGTGTGGGTGACTCTGTCTCTAAAAAAAAATGAAGATGAGGGCAGGCATGGTGGCTCATGCCTGTAATCCCAGCACTTTGGGAGGCCGAGGCGGATGGATCACCTGTGGTCAGGAGTTCGAGACCAGCCTGGCTAACATGGTGAAACCCCATCTCTACTAAAATACAAAAATTAGCTGGGCATGGTGGTGGGTGCCTATAATCCCAGCTACTCTGGAGGCTGAGGCATGAGAATCACTTGAACCTAGGCGGCAGAGGTTGCAGTGAGCCGAGATCACACCACTGCACTCCAGCCTGGACAAGAGGGAAACTCCATCTCAAAAAGAAAGAAAGAAAGAAAAAAAAATGAAGAAGGAGAAGAAGAAGGAGTAGAAAAGAAAGAGAAGAAATATGAATTCTCAAATCCCACCCCAGTCCTGCCGAATCAGGAACTTGGGGACTGGGCCCCGGGACTCGGTTTTAACAAGCTCTCCTGGAGACTCTGCTGTGCACTGAGGTTGGGGAAGCGCTGGTTTGGTTTCCAACCCAGCTGTACTTTCTGAGCCTCTGGGGAGCTTTGCAAACACAGCTGACCTTAGCTCCAGGGACTGCAGGATTGCATTGTTGTTGTTTCACTCCCAAGGTAATTGGAATATGCAGCAAGGTTTGAGAAGCACAAGTGTCATACAAAGAACAGGGCTTTGAAGTTTGAGAGCTGGGTTCAAATTCCTGTTCTGACATGACTCACATATGCCTTAAGCTTTCTAAGTCCTACTTGGTCCGTCTGTTGAAAGGTGGAAGTGAGCCCTGAATGAGAAGCTGGCATCATTTCTGGAGCATGGCAGGTGCCCAGTGAACATTAGCTCTCATCTTCTAAGCTCCCAGCACAAGCATGGCCCCCCAGCTGATGCCAGAACACATGTTGGGAGTGTCGGAAGGAGGACCCAGGTGAGGGGAGCATGTCATGGGATGGGACCTTAGAAGCCCTGTCCAGTGCTGAAAGCTGACCATATGGACACACAAGTGTGTACCCTGTGCCGTGAGGTTTGGAGCTGGCAGGAGGTGCAGCTGAGCCATGCATGTGGCGTGTGGGAATTGCGAGGGCTCTGGGCTTGTATGAGTCAGCTTGGAGCTGCCAGAACAAAACAGTGCAGGCTCGGGGGGGCTTGCACAACGCACAGCCCCGGATGCCGGAAGTCCAGGATCAAGGTGTCTGCAGGGTTGGTTGCTCCTGAAGCCTCTCCATGGCGTGGGACGGCTGTCTTCTCCCTGCGTCCACACGTGGCCGCCCCTTTGTGTGGGTCTGTGTCATCATCTCTTATAAGCACAGCAGTCAGACTGGATCAGGGCCATCCTCATGACCTGCCCACCTCCCTAAGACCCCACCTCCTAATATCATTGCCTTGGGGGTTAGGATTTCAATCTATGAATTTTGGGGTGGAGGCACACAGACATTGACATCTCCTGAATTGGCCTCTGGTTGGCCCCTTGTGTGATGAAATGGGTGCCGCAGTGAAGCTCATGAGCAGGGCTGGTCCTGGTTGGTGTGCAGTTACCTGCGGGCCAAATTCTACATCTTCAGCTCTACAATCGTGGGTTTCTCTCAAACATATGAAGTGCAGACAGCCTCAAAATCCCCAGTGCAGGGGGCTGGGGGAGTGGGAGGGAAACAGTGGCTACCCATGCCACCCCTTAGCTCGGCCCTCTGCCCCGGAGCCAGAAGTTTCCGGAGAGTTCTCTGTCCCCTCGCTGTCCCATCAGCCTCAGCTTCTCAGGTCCGTCCCAGACATCCCCACCTGAACCAGTGGCCACACACCCTGTCCTCCCCTGCTCCAGCCCCGTGTTCCTCACATGAGGAGGATGCTCCTCACCTGCTGGCATCGGACCAACTTCCTTGTTGCCAAAAATCCAGGTACCTCTTCCCAGAGCTCACTGTGCTCTGGCTCGGGCCGTGGGGCAGCCTCGTTTGTCCCGCACCTTCCTTCCTTTCCTTCCAGCTGCCTCTGCCCAGCCAGCAGTGTCTTGCTCGGTCCTTTCCAGCCTGTGTGTGGATCTGTGTTTCCAGGCCCCTGTCCTCCCTCTCTCTGCCGTCCCCCTCTCTGGTGGTCTCTGACGTCACTTCTAGGCTGTAAAAATGCAGGGCTGACACCTCCACCCTTATTTCCCGGGTCCCCGTGCCATCCCACATTCCCTGAAGACTTGGCAGATGTGGAAATCCCATTGGCTCCCCTGCTCCAGTCCCTTTCCTTCTGGACGGCCCACAGACCTGCCGGGAAAGCTGGGGAGGCTCATGGGCCGGGGCTGCAGCTCTGGGCTGGCCTAGATCAGAGCGCAAATTAAAAAAAATTTTTTTTGAGACAGGGTCTTGCTCCAGGCTGGAGTACAGTGGTGCAATTATGGCTCACTGCAGCCTCAAACTCCTGGGCTCAAGCCATCCCGAGTAGCCCAACCACAGGGGTGCATCACCATGCCCAGCTTATTATTATTATTATTTTGTAGAGATGGGAGTCTCACTATGTTGCCCAGGCTGGTCTCAGACTCCTGGACTCAAGCAATCCTCCTGCCTTGGCCTCCTCAAGTGCTGGGATTGCAGGTGGAGCCACTGCATGGCCAGGAGGCACTTTTCGTGCTTCCTCTCTGATCTTGACAATGATTTTCCAGGGTGAACAGAAGGGTTCCCATTTCACAGAGCAGGCTCAGTGACATCCCATGGTGACACAGGTGGTGGGTGGCAGGATGCAGCGGTGGAGCCCATCTCTCCCACCCCTGAGTCTCCTGACTCCTCCCCTCCAGCCCTCATGAGCCGGCGGGCGGAGGCGACTCCAGCTTTCCCTGTTAGCAACGGGAGTCACTGCCCCTCCCCTGGCTACGACCAAAGGCCCATTTCACTTCCCATCACCTCCTGTCCCCGTGTCCCCACCGGACCAGGAAGAGGACAGTCACAGCCTGGGTGCTTAACTTGGCACTGTGTGGGTAAATTAGGCAAATGACTTAGCTGATCAGAGCCTCAGTTTCCCCAGGGGTAAAATGGGGTAACGTCTTTGTGTAGAGATGAGAGGTTATTTGAAGGGTGGGACACCCATTCCAGGGCCTGAGAAGCCGCACCCAGTGCCACCTCCTCTGTTCGCCCCTCTTCCTTTCCCTCAAGTGTTTCTTTTCACTCCTGGACTTCACTCCTGTGTGGCACCCGACAGTGGTGGCTATGCATTTACATGCTCTGTCCCAGGATGGGCTCCTTCCCATCCTACCCGCCCTCCTGCCGCAGACCTGGCAGGCCCAGATGAGGCATCAGGCAGCACCCACTCTGCATATCCTGAGCTGGAGTCCAGGCCAAGCAGTCTCCGAATGACAGTTTCGTGGCTGAGGCCACGCAGCGGCGCAGAAACGCCTCCGTCTTTCCACCTCAAGAGGCACTTTGTGAAGGTCCTTGCATTCAGTACTCTGGCTCCTTGCTTGCCGAGCAGTCTTCTGCCCACTTCCTTCCCATGCGGCTTCAATAGGGAGAGAAGCTGACCAGCAAAATCCCACGCCCCTTGGCCCACGTGTCACAGATCAATGGGTGGGCACTGTGAGGACAGCGTGGCTTCCCTAGAGCCTGAGTGGCTCAGCCTCACCCATCTGCCAGGGTACCCTCCAGCTGTGATTTCTCAATATAAATGCAAATCAGGTGACCGACTGTGAGTCTCTTGGCTCCAGCAGCGCCTGTCCTCAAGGGCGGTCTGTTCCCGTTTTTGCTCTTGGAATCAGGATTAGAGCTCTGGGCAGCTGCCTGGGCGCTGGAGAACACCCCTTTGACCCTGCAGCAGGGAGATGACA
The DNA here is from genome assembly GCF_000001405.40 of Homo sapiens. Lineage (NCBI taxonomy): Eukaryota > Metazoa > Chordata > Mammalia > Primates > Hominidae > Homo > Homo sapiens. The sequence goes on along the minus strand of NC_000001.11, from coordinate 230,286,118 downwards.
AAGTCACGGAGGCTCCAGGACAGTGGGGACCATGCATCTCACCGACATGGAGATGCTTAGAATTTAGGGGGTCCAGCAACTTAGATGGGAAAAATGATATTGTTATTTTCACAACCTCCAACTGAAATGGAACACTCTACAACGAATGTCGACAACAAAATAGGAACTTTGTCACTAATTAAAAAATCACAGATATTTTCATCACATTAATTATTGTAGCTTTTTCAAAACATTGTTTATGCTCATCACTACTTTAAATTATGGCAGCAATTAGACAGGAAGACTTGTTATTTAATGCATTAAGAAGCACATATTAGGAAAATATTTTGATAACTGTGTCTTGGCATAATTAGACTTCTTTATAATCCCATGTAATCAATGTGTTTTATTCATTTGAACACCTTCTGAGAGGAGGCCCTGAGTTGATGGCTCACGCCAAAGGAGTCCATGGCATCAACAGGGTGAAGGGGCTCAACAGGGTCTGCGACTGCCTCTCTTAGGATGAAGGAATCCTGAGACCACGCTGCCACCCCTGTCCATCTGCTGCTGCCAGAATTCTTCCAGTGATGGCAAGTGTGGTGGGCACTGGGCTGCTCAATGAGTAGTCATCCCTTCCCTGTCCTCCTTGCCAGCAAAACCCACTTCCATGACATGGGAGGAGGTGGGAGGTGACTGCTTCCCGGCTTCCCAAGGACCCGGCTCTGGGCAGTGCGACCCGGGAAGACTAAGAGGTGGGGAGTCTAAGGGGTGGGGAGTCTAAGAGGTGGGGAGACTAAGGGGTGGGGAGACTAAGGGGTGGGGTGGTCACTGGCAAAGGTGCATCTTCCCTAAGTCAAAAAACAAAGATGCACAGGAGGCAGCACGCTCCAGGTCTGTTCAGTGATAAATGTTAGACGTTTGTCCACTTCAAGTCTCATGTTGAACTCTGACCCTCAATGTTGGAGGTGAGGCGTGGTGGAAGTGTTTGGACTGTGGGGGTGGGTTCCTCCTGAATGGCTTGGTGCCATTATCACAGGAGTGAGTGAGAACTGATTGTTGAAAAGAGCCTGGCTCCTCCCGCCCCCCTCGCCATGCCATGCCTGCTCCCCTCTGCCTTCCACCACCAGTGGAAGCTTCCTGAGGCCTCCCCAGAAGCAGACGCTGGAGCCATGCTCCTCGTACGACCTGCAGAACCATGAGCCAAATAACCTACCGTTTCCAATATTCCTTTACAGCAACGTGAACAGACGGAGACCCGAGCACCCACTGTACTAAATGAACCACGGTGGGAGGGGATGGAGGGGAGGGGCGCTCGGATAGGGAGCAGTTTGTCCACAGCAATGTCAAGCCCCAGGATCAACGTGGAATCCCATCACCTTTGGATTTCTTGTTATACAAGACAACATCTCTTTTAATCTCGCCTCCATTTAGGTGGGCTTTTTATGGAAGCTCTCCAATAGACAATTCTGCCAACTTGAGAGCAAGAAGGACAGTCTCAGGGAAACTCCGCAGCGAATGTGAATCAGTGGCTTCGGTGCCGCGCAAGGGTTCTTTCCACGCCCTTCAGGAGGCTGGCACCTTGTTGAGACTGGGTCTTTATTCCTGAAGAGGAAATCATGGCTACTGCTCTACAATGCTCCTTATAATTGCATCCAGAGTCTGGTTCAAATCTGACTCACCCGTGGGTGTCACCTGGGCTGAGGACCAAAAGGTCTTCTCTGTAGCCCCTGTCCAGACCACCCTAGCCTGGGACCCCAGGAGCTCAGGCAGAAACTGCTAAGCGAACACTCCTCTTTGGAACCCTAGGGGAGACGACAGCTTTTGGAAACAGGATGTATGTTATTTGCAGGCACAAACAATGCATAAAATCAAATACAGCAATTGTATTAGGAGATTGCTGAGAAATAGGCAAGAACTGCTGAGAAGAGAGTTTTTTCTTCTCTTCTGTAGGTAAGTCCATGAACAGAAGAGTGTGTCAGAGGCATTTTATTTTTCTGGTTGAATATTCTTGACAATGTGAAGTTATACCGCAGAATCCAATCACTGAGTTGGGTTGGATATTTCATTCTGAAAAGCGTTGCAAGTCTGACCCTCTCTGCTCCAGTCAGGAACTCCTGTCATTCCCCACCCCCACAGCCTTCCCCAGCATTCACAATGCTCACACACGGGCCCGCCTGCCAGTCTGTCCTCTTCCTCCCAGGCTGTCCCCATCAGGGGATCTTGCTGCTATGTCCTGGTGATGGGACTTCTCAGACGCTGAGCCCCTGCCGGCAACGCTCTCCCTCGCCAAGTCCGAATCCCACAGAACCTTTGAGACACGGCTCCAACAAGGGTGCAGCACCCGCCAGGCCGAGAGCCTGCATTTGGCTTGTCCTATTTGTCACCATTTAACGTGTTTCCTCCTCAGCCTGGGTCTTCTTTGGGACTATCAGCACAACACAGGTTTTCAACAAATAGTTACCGAATAAATAAACCTCTCCCTGTTGCCAGAGCAGGCACCACACACGGGATCCCTAAGGGGCTCCAGTGGGTGCTACAAAACGATGCTGAGAGTTCCTTTAGTCTTCTCAGATGGCAGCAAATTTTTGGTGTCCCAAATAATAGGGAAAGAAAATGGATTACATGTGGTCTCTAGAAGGTTTCAGACACTCATTTGGGCCAGTCCTGCCAGTGGCCAACCTCCTACTTCACCCCAATGTCAATCAAAATTGCTAAATAATTTGGGCCAGGTGCGGTGGCTCATGCCTGTAATCCCAGTACTTTGGGAGGCCGAGGCGGGTGGATCACTTCAGGTCAGGAGTTTGAGACCAGCCTGGGCAACATGGTGAGACCTCGTCTCTACTAAAAATACAAAAAAGTAGCCGGGTGTGGTGGTGGGGGCCTGTAATCCCAGCTACTCGGGAGGCTGAGGCAGGAGAATCACTTGAACCCAGGAGACAGAGGTTGCAGTGAGCCAAGATTGCACCACTGCGCTCCAGCCTGGGCGACAAAGTGAGACTCTGTCTTGAAAAAAAAATTGTTAAATAATTGGTCAAGGTTATGTTTCCTTGAACCCTTGTGGGGCTGTTCAAATGTAGGTACTTTTGCTTCTGTTGTTGAGATGGGAATCTTACTTCGTTGCCCAGGCTGGTCTTAAACTCCTGGGCTAAGCGATCCTCCTGCCTCAGCCTCCTGAATAGCTGGGATTACAGGCACGCACTACTGTGGCCTGGCTCAAATGCAGGAATTTAAAAGGTACCGAAGGTCAGGTGCAGTGGCTCACGCCTGTAATCCCAGCACTTTGGGAGGCCGAAGCTGGCGGATCACTTGAGGTCAGGAGTTCAAGACCAGCCTGGCCAATATGGTGAAACCTCATCTCTACTAAAAATTCAAAACATTAGCCAGGTATGGTGGTGAGTGCCTGTAATCCCAGCTACCTTGGAGGCTGAAGCGGGAGAATCGCTGGAATCACTGAGGCGGAGGTTGCAGTGAGTCGAGATTGCGCCGCCACACTCCAGCCTAGGTGACTCCGTCTCAAAAAAAATAAAATAAAACAAATAGTATCTGAAGAACCTCAGAGACGCCTGGATGGAACCGAAGAGCCCCAGGTAACTGGTAAACAAGTCTATAAATCTTAACTACTTGAAAAACTGTAAAAATATTTGTCCCCTGGTTTGGAGCACAGGGTCTGGGTGCGAGTGCCAAGGGCTGGCTCCAGGCAGGTACACAGGAAGGACGTGACCTTGAGCAGGCTAGCAACTTCCTTCACCAGCTTCCCCTGTGGCTGTAAAATGCAAATGTATTTAAGGGCTTGGCTGGGTGCCTGGCACATCATAAACACTCCACAAATGATAATGATTATTATTACAAGTAAGAATAACCAACCAAAGGGCACAGCAATAAAAGCGCATCTGCAAAAGGTGATAAGAAACAGCCACTGAGCAGGAGCTGCAGAAGGCTGACCCCAATCCCAGTCCCCACACCCACCCCACCCAGCCCTCACACACCAGGACAGACTCTGGCCAGCAAAGAGCGGTATCTAGAAAGTATCTTCTCTTTATTTAAGTTAAACAATTTTCAAGGATGGTTTCCATCTATAAAATGGACAAAGTACAAGCTCTGTACAGCAGTTCTTTTTAAAAATCAACTGGAAAAAAAAATTACCAAACTATATTTTGAATTTGCAAAACATACTCACAGATACCATCATCTGAGCTTTTATGAGGACATAAGAAAGGACCAGCACAGAGAAGACAACTAACTTCGGCACGCTTTGCTCGAAGGGCTCTTAGGAAAGAATTCTGAGTTTTAAAAACAGGAGTGGGAGGGTGAGATAGTCCTGATGATTAAAAACTAACGCAACCGCAGTAAGTCACTTTGGCACACTGTGTCATGTAAACATAGCTCACCGCAAAGGACCCCTCCCCGGCCCACCCCTGCTCTTGACGCCCGGACCATCCAAAGCCGCCTCCCAGCTCAGGGACAGGACGCCGCCCCCAGGGCATGGGCCGCACAAGGGTCTGGGTAGACACGTGGGATGATAGGAAGGCTGAGAGGGCCTAGGGGTGCGGGCGGGGTAAAGGTGAAGGGGCAAAGGATTCGTCAGAAAACGTGATTTTAAAACGAGCCAGATTCATCCATTTCCCTCCTTACAGTAGTAGCAGCTCGCAGGTCACAGGGTCTGACAGAAGAACCTGGGTGCTGGGGGCTACGCACACCCTGCTCTGGCCTGCACTCCACAGCCTCGCACAGGTACCTAAGGGGGTTTTCCTCAGGCTCCCCCCGAGCGCCCACCGTGAAAGACAGAAGCGTGCGGAGTTACTCCAGCGTGGGGGCACGCTGCCCACTCACAACACATCTGGTTGCATGGCAGGGGAGGCGGGAAGAGAAGACCTATAGGGCAGCCCTCCAGCCAGGCTTCCACCTCGGGGCCGCTGTCCTACAGTGCACACATGTGGGGCTCCCGCCGGGGAGGAAGACACACAGTGGCCCCTTTCATACAAGACACAGGGAGGAGCATGGCACCGGCACAACCTCCCAGGGTGGCTCCTAACTCCAAGGCCGCCGCTGTCCCACCGAGGGGCCTGCAGGTGTGCCTAACTGACGCTTTTCTCAGACTGCCAGGCCGTGCCAGCCTCTCTGAGACTGAGCATCTGTGTGTGCGGCGCTGGAGAAGGCGGCCAGGAGTGGAGGAGGAAGCAGGGCACCGACCACAGAGTGGCAGGGGTGACGAGGAACATTCCTGAGCACCCAGGTAGAAGCCAGGCACCTCTCCCCGTTATGACTTTCAGTTCATAACTGTCTGTGGTTTAACAGGACCCCAAGGCTCCTGTCTCCCGCCCTGAATCCTCAGTGTAAATGAGCAGGTATTGTTTGGTTCTGACCCTTCCTAATTCTTTCCCCAAAGCCCCCTGAAGCAGTCATCTTGGCCAGGCGGGGTGTGGGAGGGAGCTGCGGGCGGGGCAGGACTCGCTGCCTGGCTGGAGCTCCCCAGGCCAGCAGGTGTGCAGGACTGTGAGCCAGGCCTGTGCCCTGGCTGACGGGCTCATCCCTGACACTGCTGGCCATTAATTCTGAAGGCCCAGCGTGCAGGGCTCAGATCACAATGAAGCCAATACTAGCGTGTGACAGCTGCCTGGCATCATTGGTCTGCCCTGTCGCCAGGGGGCAGCGGTATTGCTGGCTCACACAGAGCTATGGGGTATGTCTTATATTCCTTAGAGAAAAGAAATTTAATGTAAAAAGACCCAAAGTGATATCTGTCAAAATAAGTAACCGCTCCAGGTTCACAGATACGCACAGCACGCAAGGTGGATTCTGACGCACAGTAGGGACTCTCAGGCTGACGCCCAACAGGGATGCCGGGGCCGAGGCCGGTGGTCTGGAGGAAGCCCCCCAGCTGGCCACAGCAGTAGCACCAACTGGCTGATCGGGCTCCAGGGGACAAAGGCCACCTCCTCCCTCTGTGAGAAACTGGCCCCACCGGGCTCTGGCCCCTTCTCCCGGAAGCTGCGAACGGCTTTGTGGGGAATATACAAGATGACGATGATCTACAGAAACCATAGGGAACTGACCGTACATTCTTTCTCTATATAGCTTTATATTTAGTGTCCCACCATAGAAAACTTCATCCTCAATATAGCAAGTACATGAGGTGGAGGGGAGTCTGGCCCAGGAAGACACTTGCGAATGGAGGAGCAGAGAGAGGGACTATTGACGTAAACCTGCCACGTGACACGACTCGGCTTTGTGGAAACCATACGTGATTTCGAAGGGATTGAAAATGGAGATTTCAAGAGTTCTCCTCGCTCCCCTGGGGCATGTGTGCCCCCTCCTCCCGCCCTGTCCTCAGCTCGCACGCATCCGTTCAGTTGCTTCTACCACTCCCCAGTCGGTTGTCGCTGGGTGTCACTCAGTTGCGGAGCCGGCAGAAGTGAAAGCTGGAAGGAAGAGGGGCGCTCCGGCCTGGGGAAGGGGGCCCGGCTGGGCTGCACCGAGAGGAGGGGGAGGGCAGTTCTCGCTTCTTGCCGCTGCTGTGTCTGCACAGTCGTCCGTGCCTTGCCGAAGTTTGACTTTCAGACCATGATGGAATACTGAGGTATATTAGTTTCGCGGAAAGTTTAAGAAACATAATCAATAATGTGATCACCAGACTCCACCCAATGGTGCAGGAGACAGGACGGCAGGGCCTCCCGGACCCTCCTACTGCTGCAGGTTGAGCGTGAACTTCCACTGCTGCGAAAGGGCCGGGCCACACACCTCCACGCTTAGGCCCCCGCTCTTGGCCGTGCGACTGTCCAGGCACAGGTTGCTGCCCACGTGCCTCAGCTTGGAGTTGCCCTCGATCTGTTCCCATTTCTGCAAGACACAGGAGAGTGCCTTAGAGTGTGGGCACAAGCAAAGGAGTACAAACAGATTCGTGTGAATTCAGGACCTTGTGGCTGCATTAAAAACTCACAGATAGACACGTTTTTCCCAGCCTCTCATCTGAACGGCCGAGGAGCTTGCAGCAGCCCCACAGGAAACCAGCCACAGGTGCTGCTGGGACCCAGGAAGGAAACATATTCTCTGCCTTGGATCAAAACTCAGAACGTCTCCTGCCCCAAACTTTCTGTGGGTGTCCCCTCCTCTGAGCCCCAGAGCTCTGGGCACCCACCCCTTCGTCATTAACACAGGATTTGATGTAGGGGAATTTGCATGCCTTCGTATGAAAGCTTGATCCAGTGATGGTTCACCCCAAGAAGGGATCCACACAATGCAGGGCCAGATCCTCCCCTGGCTGTTGGAAAGCAGCCCTGCCTGGAGGCCTTGGTCTGGGCACCTCCATGCTCCCACTTAGGGCTTTCTGCTCGGGGGAGCCAGAGGAACGGTGTCAGGCCAAATGTCAGGAAGAGAGATGGTTGTTTGAACAGAACATAGCATTGAGAAGCCTATTTCTATGTAGTCTGTTCTCTACTGGTGTGCAAGCTCCTTGGTGGATATGAGAAACTTGTCTCTGCTACCCTTGAGCCCCCTGGTGCTCTGTATGGCAGGGACCAATGTTTGCTGAGTTCTGAACATGCCGCTTGTAAAGTACAGGGTACGATGCCTCTTTACTAACACTCAAATCAAGCGAACAACCAAACTCAACCCACATACCCGTTACCCACCAACTAAGCCAGAATCAAAGTGCACAACCCAGCCTGAAGGAAATCTGAGGAGCCCTGTTTAGCAAGTAACATAAATACCCCTTTCAGCCTGAGTGCAGGCGGCTCACGACACTAATCCCAGCACTTTGGGAGGCCGAGGCAGGAAGATCGCTTGAGGCCAGGAGTTCAAGACCAGCCTGGGCAACATAGCAAGAACCCATCTCTACAAACATTTTTTTTAAAAAAAATTAGCAGGGCATGGTGGTGCATGCCTGTTGTCCTAGCTCCTTGCAGGCTGAGGTGGGAGGATCGCTTGGGCACAGGAGTTCGAGGCTGCAGTGAGCTATGGTCATACCCACCCCTGCACTCCAGTCTTAAGCAACAGAGTGAGATCCTGTCTCTTAAAAAAAAAAAAAAAAAGAAAGAAAAACAGAAAAATCCCCCTTTAAAAATCTCTAATGTTTGTTCTTAAAAAAAAAAAGTAACATTTTTTTCTTCCCCAAAGCTCGTTTCAAATAATGAAGTCTGTGGTTCTAATTAATTTTTTATACTGTGTGCACGAAAGCTCCTTCACCTAAGTATTTTTTGCAAATCCTTTTGACATTGCAGAATTAAATTTTCTCACTCCTGCCTCCCTTTCCCCTTTGACTCTGCAAATATGCACAACATATGAAAACATGGACGTGCCTGGAAACCAAATGTTCCAACTGGCAAAGCCAGTTCAGTTCCAAGATAAAATTTGCTAAGGAGCTTCCTCTTGAGGGGCCAGTGAGTGAGGCAGGGAGGAGCCGGTGCAGGCAGAGGAGCCCAGTGCTGGGGACCCGACCTGCGCGAAACACCACAAGGATGTTGTCACTTGTACCCTGCTTTCCTTATTTCCGTCCACCTGCTCACCTGGAGTTCTTGCCAGCAGGGAAAGACAGTGCAATCAGAGGAGCCGGGGAGGCTTTTGCTAAGTGCCTGTCATTGCCTCTTTCATTTCCAGCTCCCTCGTTGCTGTCAATCACCCCTCATGCTGTTTTTCCCCATTGTCATGTAAAGTGTGTATGTATTGAGGCTGCCCTGTTACTCTGAGCAGCCAGGAATCTTCTCAACAAAGAATTCGGAATGAACGGAATCTGATTCTGGCCACTGGAGGGACTGCCTGTCATGTGTCAAAGCATCAGCTAAATCAAGAACCTTAGAAAAACAACAACAAAACCCCAGCTCCGTCTCGCACAGGTGGCCTTGTGGGCTCTGATCTGTCTGTCTGATGGGATTGTGGTTGGGGGTGGGGAGCGCAGATTTTCAAGGCAGTCAGACTCTACTGAAACAGCCCCCACATCCTCTCTAATAGCCTGAGTCTTGGGGTTTAAAACCTAACAGATCCCCATTTATACATGCCATACATCCAGAAAAACTTATTATTTATAGGTCTTTTCATGCTTCACAAAGGTCCTAAGCCGTGTCAGTTATGGTTCCCCAAAACTGGGACTGAAGCAGAAACACCTGTCAATTCTTGAAATTAAGCAATATTGAAGTAATATTTGTTTTTTAAAAAGGTGTCAACTAAAGTCATCACTTTATCAATCCATTACATCCAAAGACATCTCTGCTCCGTTACATCCCAGGGGAATGTGTTTGAGACTCACCCAGTACTTGGCTCAGCAGATGCCAGCCTTGCCCTCGAGGAGCTTCCTCTCGAGGGGCCAATGAGTGAGGCAATTTCTAGGTGGTTTGGGTCCAAGCGGTGCTAGCCTTCTCTTGTTTAACAGGCACTCCCTTACACATTTTGGTATCAAGTCATCAACACAGATGGACATTTAGAGATGCGGATTGTGAGCAGAACCCTAGAGAGGGGCTCCCACTGCCAGGACAGGCTGGGACTCTGCAGAGCAGGGAAGGAGGAGCACCCAGAGCTGGCGCAGGGGTTTGGAGACAGACAGGTGAAAGAGGGCCCTCTGCAGGCGTCTCCCTGACAACTGGGGTCAGAACCGGGGACTCGGTCCTGGCCTTGGTCTTCCCAGATGACTCCAGGGTGGAGGCAATGACTTTCTGAGACTTTTCTGTTGTGAAATCAGGGTTAGACTAGAAGCTGGCTTAGGCTCTTGGCTCCAGTAGGTTCTGTGCCTCAGTTTCCCTACATCCCATCTATCTCTAAGGACCGACTGTAAGAACAGGGGCAGGCACTCCAAGTATGGGCATACAGGGAGGACCTTTTGTGCTTGCATTTCTATTCCTGACACTAACTGTTACCCCATGCCTTGAGAAAGGGTGTGTCCACAAGCTGCCACAAGGGAATACGTCAGAGAAAACCGGCTTACAAGGCAGGTAGAAAGTCTATTCTGAAATGTTTAAAGAAACTGTGTGTATATGTGTGTGTGTGTATATATGTATATATATGTGGTGTGTATATATATGTATATATCTGTGGTGTCTATATATGTATATATGTGTTTATATATGTATATATATGTGGCATGTATATATACGTATATATATGTGGCATGTATATACGTATATATATGTGGCATGTATATATACGTATATATATGTGGCATGTATATATACGTATATATATGTGGCATGTATATATACGTATATATATGTGGCATGTATATATGTATGTATCTGTGGTGTCTATGTATATATGTGGTGTTTATATATGTATATATCTGTGGCATTTATATATGTATATCTATGTGGCATGTATATACATGTATATATGTGGCATGTATATTTGTATATATATGTGGCATGTATATATATGTATATATCTGTGGTGTATGTATATATGTATATATATGTGGTGTTTGTATATATATATGTGGTGTGTATATGTGGTGTGTATATATATGTGGTGTTTACATATGTATACATGTGGCATGTATATATGTTGTGCTTGTATATCTATGTGGCGTATATATATGTGGTGTTTATATAAATGTAGCATGTATCTATATGTATATATATGGTGTGTTTATATGTATATATATGTGGCGTTTATATATGTATATCTATGTGGCATGTATATATATGTATGTATCTGTGGTGTGTGTGTGTATATGTATATATATGTGGTGTTTGTATATATGTATATATGTGGCGTGTATATATATGTGGTGTGTATATATGTGGTGTTTACATATGTATATATGTGGCGTGTATACATGTGGTGTTTATAGATGTATATGTGGCATGTATATATATGTATACATATGTGGTGTGTATATATATGTGGCGTTTATATATGTATAAATGTGGCATCTATATATACGTATACATGTGGTGTGTATATATGTATATATGCGGTGTTTACATATGCATATATGTGGCATGCATATGTATATATATGTGGTGTTTATATATGTATATATGTGGCAGGTATATGTATATGTGGTGTGTATATATGTATATGTGGTGTGTATATATATGTATATATATGTGGTGTGTATACATGTATATATATGTGGTGTGTATATATATACGTATATATGTGGCATGTATATATGTGTATATATGT